>NC_000010.11:53476428-53627943 GCF_000001405.40 Homo sapiens | reverse complement strand
TAATGTAAGTTTTAAGCTTTAAGACTGGAAGGGTCAATTTCTATGTTTATCTAAAAAAACAGTAAACATCAGTTCTATGGGGAAATTGGGCCAGCTTCATGATGAACAGAAGTAAAAGATAGTATTAGAAATGTTATGTGGCTCAAAGAGGAATGAGTATTACAAAAAGACAAAGAGATAATGGTCTGAAATTGGTATCATGTATGACAGAGGGCATTAGTCCCTTCTCTCACTTTAAGATTTAAGGGATAAGACTGAACAATCTATCAGATATTCGTATTTGATATTTAAATCTAGAACTTCAAAACAGTGAGAAATATGGCTACTTCACTTATTAATACTTATTCCATGTTCTCTTCCGATTCTTTGCTCTCCCCATTTACATTCTGCCAATGACTCAGTTGCCTATATCTATGAAAATAACTACCCCAAAACTTAGTGGCCTGAAACAATAGTCATTTACTTTGCTCACAAATCTGTAATCTGGTTAGTGCTCAGTGGAGATAGTTCATCTCTACTATTCTTGGCATCAGCTAGTGCCACAAGAAGCTGGGCAGTAGGATCTTCTGAAACTTTACTTACTCACATGTATGGTGGTAGAGGCTGGATGTCAGCTGAGACCTTAACTGGGGCTGTCTGCCAGGACATCCACATATGGCCTTCCATGTGATATAGGCTTCCTCACAATAGAGTGGCTGTGTTCCAAGGGCAAGCATTGTGGAAGAGTCATGAGGTCATGAGCCTCAGAAGGTGAAAGGGGTAATGTCTGAAAGGGTTACAAAGTACCATCCAAATTCAGTGAGGGGGTAAATAAATTCCACCTTTTGATAGAAGTGTTGCAAGGTTCTGGAATAGCATATAGCATCGAAATGTCAGCACAATCATTTTTGAAAAATATAATCTGCCACAAGTATGATATGGATTTTATTTAAACAGCACAGAAGCAAGGCACAGTGGCTTGTGCCCTCAATTCCTGCACTTTGGGAGGCCAAGGTGGGAGAATCTCTTGAGACAGTAGTTTGACACCAGCATGGGCAAAATAGCAAGACCTTGTCTCAAAAAAAAAAAAAAAAAGAGAAGAAAAGAAAAGAAAAAATATAGCTGGGCATAGTGGCACTTGTCTGTAGTCCTAACAACTTGAGAGGCTGAGGCAGGAAGATTGCTTGAGCCCAGGAGTTTGAGGCTACAGAGAGCTGTGATCACACCACTGAACTCTAGCCTGGGAGACAAAGTAAGAACCAATCTCTAAAAAAGAAAAAACAGACAAACACTGAAAATGTAGTCATACTTGTGTTGAGTGTACTAAACCAGTGAAGGAATTTCTAGCACACAAGCAACACTACAATCCAACCCTGTCCTGACTAGTTTCTGATTTGTTCTGTTTTGTTTTTTTTTTAATAATCTAATCTTTGGTGCAAAGCCCTTTGTTCAGTTCTAGGAAAGATGTAAAATATATGTAAGGTGAGAATTAATTAAATTCTAAGCTTCTATTTTGACCACCTTCATGAAAACAATATACATTTTGACTAAAAATATTTTCAGTCAGGAAGCAAAAATGGTAAAAAATAAAGAAAGAAATCCAAAAGAGTAACTGCTTCAGGAAATCCTGATTTAACCATAAAGATAATTCCTACTATGTCTGCATAAACTGATACATAACTTCTCAAAGCATTTGTTATTGCAAAGACCTAAAAAGTAAGCCTGATTAGGAGAAACATTACTTTCAAATTTGTAGTTAGGTGCTATATCTTCAATAACTTCTTTTACAATTAGAAATTTTAAATAATCAAAATTTAGGTGTATTACATCTCAGAGATACTTTCAAACCCCCCAACTGAATCATTTAAAGAAATAAATATGGTGGACATTAAGACTTCTTGAAAAAGCTCTTCTATAATTTTCTATCACAAAGCTCTTTATTTTAAGAACACTGAATTTTAATTCTGATTATAGATTTGTTTTTCACAAGATTACATTCTTAACCTTGTAACTAAAGCAGATTAAATTGTACCAGATTTCCTTCTGCTTCAGTCAGTGGCAGAAGGTTGGATTTATGATGCACTATTGTACCTTCTTTTTACAAGCTTTGTCACAGGAATTAGGTTTTAGAAGTTTATGGCTTCATATGTAGCCTGAAAAATAACGCTAAACTGTATTACTAGGACCTATTCCATGTTCCACTGATTCTTCCCTTTACAAAGGGAACAACAGCGAAGGAGAGGGAGACAAAGGCACTGAAGATGCCATTTGTAATTGATAAGTTGCCAAAATCGGGCAGTCCAGGCCTATGTTTCCCAACACTCTTGGCTTTCTCAGATTGATTTCTTATTCCTTAAACATAGTCATTAGAAGAAATACAAAACAAAATTCTAAAGTAATTCATGAAGAAATTAATGCCATGAGGATTCTCAGTTATTTCTTTTATTTTACCGAAGAATCTTCCCCTTAGATAAAATGATTCCAATAACCTGAGTTGATTTAAATAACCTGAGTTGCATCAAGAAACAGGGTTAATTCTCTCACAGTCCCCACACATGTGACATAACTAGCCATTATTTAAATCAACAGGTACATCGTGCCATCATAAACATAAACATATTATGTACTTATTTTAAGCCAGGTGATAAGGATATAAAGAGTTAAAAGATGTAGTTCTGCTATCATATTTGATATTATACAGTGATGCTGTCTGAAGATTGAACTACAAACAAAACTGCCCTCCTCAGCAACAGAATTCTGATAAAGATGTAAAGTCCCAGATTTTCAAGAGTTGTAAGGACATGCATTTTGTATGATGGCTCTATTATGTGCTGTAGCTGTTTGGGTCATTCATCTGTGCATGAACGTTAGGAACCCAGGCCACATGAAAGTTGGACGGTTCTTTAGTTCTCGGATTCACTGATTTATTCCTGTTAAATTGTACCACTACCCCATAGCTACTTTCTGTTTACCCATGTTCTGTCTAATGAAAATGATTCAGATCGTATATTTGCATTCCAGGTAAATATATGGGCAAAGGCCAACATACATAATTATGTACTCTTTGTTAAAGAAAACACTGGCAACCTAGCCATCATGACACAGAGACTAATACACATGATGAAAAGATTTGAGACTAAGAGGAAAAATGGTTTGAAAGTGAATTACTTTGAGATCTCTATGTTTTGAAAACTGTCTCAAGAAGTGGTAGACAAGGCAATAAATACCTTAGGAAATTTTAGGTCATCTTGTTTCCTATAACAAAATTATCCGAGACATTTTAACGATTTCTTTTAATGAACCCATAAATTTCAAGTAGAACCAAAGTTGTCCTTGGTTTTCTTTAGGCAAAACGGCATAGATGAAATAAATCAGAGTGAATTTGGTTTAAAATATTCAAAGATGAACAGAAATATTTAATATTTAGTTTGTTATTCCCTAATCAGAAAGAAGAAAGAGAATCAGAGAACCATATGAATAAAATATGTAAAGACTTTAAATAAAATGTGATATCCCCTTTTTCATTCCACATCAAAATACAAAATTTATCTCGATGCTCCACGAATTCCTTTATATTGTAAACTAAACACATAAAATCTTTATATTTCAGGTATTACTTTGGTTATGTCTTTACATTAGTTCTAATTAGGTGAGAAAAGAACTTTTATCTGAGGAATGTGATTTTTTTTTAAACAATCAGGACCGGAGGGACACTAAAATCAGACAGCAATCATATCCTACTTCCCCCCTTCAGCTACATATTTATCTCTTGAAACTGCCTGCTATTGTCACAAGTAGCTACTCATTAACCTAACAGTGCCACATTGGACACTATAACCCATACCCTATAGATCAATAATGTATATCCAACCACCAATTAATATTATTTCTATAAATCACTGTGAATTTCTGACAAATGAAAACTCTGTAGCAGCCCACTGCCTGTCCCTCTTTTTTGTATCATAGGCCAAACAGAGCTCATATCCAAAGTTACTTGGGTATGAGTTTTTTGGGTAGCTGCCCTCACTTTGGGTCAAGTAAACTCTTTAAATTATATTTTGTGCCTCAGCCTCTTCCTTTTAGGTCAATATAGATCTTTGTTTAAAATTAATAAGCAGAGAAAAGAATACTTTTTAAAAAGCTCAACAACACAAAGTCACTGAATGATTTTTTATAAAACAGATCTCCTCTTCTTTTCCTAAACTTACTGTTTTTAATTTCAAATGTTATCTCACAAGTTTGGCATGTTGTGATTGTATAAAATTAGCAAAGCAAGGAAACAAGTCATCCAACAGAGGGGAATTTATAGAGTGTCTACAAGGCGATGCTAAGAATCAATTAGCATCCTGAACCTCTGAGGACAGAGTGTTAAAGGGCTATGGGAGAAATTTCTCTTAATACTTAGACATTTAAAAAACCATGTCTGTTTTGCATTTTGTTGTGTAAGTCTATTGATGTTTCAGACTAGTCAAGCCAGATAATTTAGTAATTTATAAACTTGTTATAAATTATTTCCATGTGGAAATAATTTTGCAGTTCTTAACATCAATATGTCATGATCGCATTCAGCACCTTTGATTTTGCTTGGGGCGAATCAGAGAAGGAGGTGATTTAGTTACAGCACTCAGAGTGAGGCTAACTTTCTTGTGTCCAGAACATTTAGCTTTATACCCAAGCTTTAACTCCCCACTAGCCAAACCAAAAACTTTGTGTATAATCAACAATACTCACTATTCTAGTAGACAATTTAACTGACATCTCTGGTTACACTTTCATAACAAGCATGCCCCATGGTATTCTAACACTTGAATAATGCTTTTACTGAATGACATTTTCTTATTTCATATTTCATTTGATATATTAACTTCTCTAAAAATTAGCACACCAGGACTTTGTGCAACTAAATATCCTTTATTCTCTCTCTCTCTCTCTCTCTCCATATATATATATATATATTTTTTTTTTTTTTTTTTTTTTTTTTTTTTTTGAGATGGAGTCTCACTCTGTTGCCCAGGCTGGAGTGTAGTGGTGCGATCTCAGCTCACTGCAACCTCCACCTCCCGGGTTCAAGGAATTCTCCTGCCTCAGCCTTCTGAGTAGCTGGGACCACAGGCGCGTGCCAAGACACCCGGCTAATTTTTTGTATTTTTAGTAGAGACGGGGTTTCACTGTGTTAGCCAGGATGGTCTCGATCTCCTGACCTCGTGATCCACCCGCCTCAGCCTCCCAAAGTGCTGGGATTATAGGCATGAGCCACTGTGCTGGCCATTCATTCTATATTTTAGCAAGATGCCCTATATTTATTCTATGGCTTTTGGCATATCCTGAAATATTATTTCTTAGTTGCACCGGCACTTCACCCTCTATTTAAGAAACACAGAATGAACCTAATTCTACTTATTTTACAGGTGAGTAGAGTGAGCCCGTGATTCATAAACTCATTCAGAGAGTTCACCATCTAACTAGAAACTGAGTTCATGACTTGTTGATTGTTTTTCCCAGAAACAAGTTAGAAGAGTCACAGGATCTTGCATTTTAATCTAGATGTTAGAAAACAGAGTGCCCACAAAGAACCAGAAACTGTAACAGCTGATTTATTGTGAGTCATTTAAAATATGTGAGAACCTGCATTGACTGTATCTCTGCTACATCGGGACATTGAAAATATGTCAGATATTGTCATTTGTTTCCAAATACTGTAGAGTAATTTATAGCCAAGGAATAACTATTTTTGGCCACTTCTTGATTTTTATTGTTTAGTAGTGCTTTTTCCCAGAATTTAAATACAATCTATTCTTAATCATATGATTTATGATTGATTATAATATCATCAATCTTAAGAAGACTAGTTCGTATTTTGGAAGTGCTTTTTTTTTTTTTTATTCTATGCATCATCTATTAAAAATAGAACATTTCCCATGTAGATCATTCATACATTTTGGACTTCCTGAAATTTCTAGGTGAAATACTTTATGAAAATCTTTCTTCTTTATCAGATTCTACTTAATTTTGAGTTTTTGATTTGGTGTGTGTTTGTATTTATTTGGTATGTGTTACAAATGTCTCATGGAATATATTCATTCTAAAAATATTATTCATTGTTTCTCCGAAATTTACATCAAACTAGACATTCCATATTTTATCTCACAAACTCATGTTAAATTGCTTTGGTCCTTAGTATATTCATGATTAAATCTGCTCTTCAAGAATAATTTTTAAATAAGTAAAATTATGATACACACAATGTAAAAACATAGATTTCTATGGTCTGTTATTTTTCTACTAATTTTGTATAGCAATAAAACGATTGGTAGAAAAGTCTTGATTAAATGGCAGTGTCTAGCTTTGATTTCTTCTCATGTCTCCTTTTAGTTCTGAAAATATGTTAACCTAATACCCCATTCCCTAATTATAGATTGAATTTCTTTAGTAATTATAAGGCTATTCAGATAATTCAGTTCATATAGTTGAATCTTGGTAGTGTGCGGTTTTCAAGGAATTAATCCATTTCATGTAGGTAGTTGCAATAATGCGTATAGTTTTTCATATTTCTTTTTATCCTTTTAGTGGCCACAGAATCTGTAATGAAATCCTGGTTTTATTCCTGATATTGGCAATTTGTATTTTTTCTCTTTTTACCTTTGTCAATTTTGCTACAGGTTTATCAATTTTGCTGTTCTTTTTAAAGAATCATCTTTTAGTGTTGTTGATTTTCTCAGTTGTCTTCCTTTTTCCAATTTTATTCATTTTTGTCCTTATTTCCTTCTCTCACCTTTCTCTGGGTTTATTTTGCTCTGCTTTTTTTAAAGTGAAAGCTCAAATTTTAGATTGGATATATATTTTTCTTTTATGAGCGTTTTAATATAATACATATCCTTCTAGTCACTACTTCCATGGTATCCCACAAACTTTGCTATGCCATATTCTCATTTTTTTGCAGTTCAAAGTATTTTAAATTTCCCTTGAGAATTTGTATTTAATCAATGTTTGACAGAGAAGCATGTTAAATTTTCAAGCATCTGGAGTTATTCCAGTATTTTTTTCTAGTTTACTTCCATTATGGTCAGAGAACATACTGTCTATGATTTCTATTATTTTGAATTTGTCATGGTTGTGTTATGACCTATGACATGGTCTACCTTGGTGCATAATGCAGGTGCACTTAAAGAGAATAGTTTGCTGTTGGAGGATGTAGTGCACCTATAAATGTCGGTTAGATCCAGTTGAAGTGACGGTGGTTTTAGTTCTATGACCTTGCTGATTTTCTGTCTGTTCTATCTCTGAGAAAGGAGCACTGAACTCTCTAACTAAAATTTGGATTATTATATTGCTTCTGTCATTTCTGTGTGTTTGTGTGTGTGTGTGTACATGTGTACATACTTATTTTGGATTGCTATGCCTTCCTGGTGAATAGCCCCTTTTTTCACTGTGTAATACGCCTCTTCATACTTGGTAATTTTCTTTTTTCTGAAGTCTAATCTGATATTATTAAAGCCACTACAGCTTTTTATTTAGTATTTGCATAGTATATTTTCCCCATTCTTCTTGTAACCTACTTATTACATGACATATGAAGTGAGTTTCTTATAAACAGTATATTGTTGGGTCTTACTTTTAATCTAATCTGACAGCATCTCTTTTTTAATTAGCATTTTTAGACAGTTTGCATTCAAAGTAATTAATGACATGTTTGGATTTAGGTCCACCATATTATTCCTTGTTTTATACTTGTTCCCTCTTTTTTTTTAAAAAAAAATTAGTTTCTTTCCTCTTCCAATCTCCTTTTGTATTATTGGAACATTTTGTGTTATTCCATATGGATATATTTATTGTGTTTTTGGTGAGATCTCTTTGAGCACTTATAGCTGAGTTTAAGGAAGAAAGTAAGGACTCAGGCTTCAGGCCAGCCCTTTGCCACACTTGCTACAGTGGCCATGCCCTACTGATAGAGGCCAAAGACAGCCAAATGCCTAGGCAGACAGAGGAGGGTCCTTGGAGAATCTCCAACCTGTCCCACAAGTGCTTACGCCAGAAGATTTGTGCAGATAAGGGAACCTGCACAGGGGATCTGCCCGGGCATGCCTGCAGAGAACTGGAGGCCCACATCCACTGGGGGAATGGGGTGGAGCCACCAGGAATTTGTGTCTTATGCAAGGGAGGAGCCTGGCCTCTTCAGCTCCTGTATTGTGGCCCTAGTATTCAATTGGGGAGGTGAAAACCTGCCTACAGGACTCCCTCCTCTTTGCTGAGAGTTTTCCTTTCACTTAATAAATTCCACCCTCCTCACCCTTCAATGTGCCTGAGTGCCTAATTCTCCCTGGTCATGAGACAAGAACCCAAATTTAACTGAGCTAAGGAGCAAAAAATCCTGCATCACTATTGGCTTCTATGGTCTCAGCCATCTCCCTGCCCTAGATTTTAAATTCGTTATCTTATGACTTGTTCACACTCAGAGGATCTGGTTTCATATGGGGCCACCAGGGCAACTGCAAAACCTATGAAGTTAGAATTAGAATCCACCATGGAGATGAAAAATCCATCATTTTTGTGAATCAGATAAAGCCTCAAAGGTCAATTAAAACAGATTTCATCTGAAAAAAGTGACTTGCTTGCCAGTTGTGGTCCCTTAGAAAGAACTTACTCCATGACATCCATTGGCCAACAAGAAAAATAGCCCAAAAGTTACTATTGAAGGCCAATGTAAGTGAAATGAGGTACACTACTCAGCATAAGAAAAACAAGACTACCAAAGAATTGAATAATAATCTTAGAATGGAAATATCTAAACAGCACATAGATGTTGGAAAAAGTTGGCCATTTAAGACAATGTGTAGCAAGAGAACTCAAATACCCATACATGTCTAAATCTAATTATTTTAATTAAAAATACATGATAAGGGCGACAAGAGTGAGACTCCGTCTCAAAAAAAAAAATGATGAAATATGTGATAGGTATGAAATATAATTCTAAGCACCAAAGGCTAGCCCCGATTTTCTTAAACTTTCTGAGATATTATATGTACTATTATTTTTTTCCTTGGAAACCCTCCTAACAATAAGGATAATTTATCTGAGTGAGCAACAAGTTGAGAAATAAATTCCAAAATATCTAAAAAATTAATGGACTCCATGGTGTGATTCTAGATTATGAGTAGATAATAAAAGAATAATGACAGCATTTGGAGAACTCAGGTCAAAAATTTTACTCTGAAGGAGTGTGTAGGTTTAAGTGAACAAAAAAAGGGTTTTAAAATAATTTTTTGGTGGGAAATCTTCGAGTCAATTTGGTGTATCCAAAATTGACTTTTTAGAAAGAATACTAAAAGAATTGAAAGCTTATGTTTTTTTTTGGAGGATAATTTTAAACTTCCAGAGGGAACAGAGTTATATATAAAGCTAACTCAAGGACAGAAAATGTTATAATCTCTCCAACATTGCAACCCAGGTAAGAGACCTGGCCACTACCATTTTCAGAAGGACATACTGTTCTATAGAAAACAGACTCCAGAAAAGACCTTGGAAAGAAAGAGAAAAGAATATATCAGAAGAGGATAAGATACACTAGTACAGAGTTCAAAAACTGAAAACAAGTACTACAAAATACAGTTAAAGCTTCATAAAACTCTTGCATTTTAAAGAGATAACCTATAACCATTTATTTATTTTTTGTGTTTCAGAAAGAACGTTTTCTGGAGAAAGATACGAGGTGCCACATCAGAGATACTTATTAAGACCAATAAACCAAAATACGGTTCTTCAAATACCAGCTCCTGGAAGATGTGTTTATCAAATCTTTTCAGAGAAAGTAGTTCTAAGCCAAGGGGGCTTCACTTATTTTTCCATTGTAAATGATGTGCCTGCATTTTTTTTCTCTGTTCTCAATGAAATACATGGGTCTGTGGGGGAAAAAAAAAAAAAGCCTTCGTCTGGCATAGCATAACATCTACGTTGGATCTGAAATCTGGGGCAGCTATGCTGCCTTGTTTTTATTTTTTGAGACAGGATCTTGCTCTGTTGCCTGGCTAAAGTGCAGTGATGCTATCACAGCTCACACAGCAACCTCTGCTTCCTGGGCTCAAAGAGTCCTCCCATGTAGCTGGCATTACAGGAAAATACCACCGTGCCTGGCTACTTTTTTTTGCTTTTTAGTAGAGACGAGCTCTCACTATGTTGTTCAGGCTGGTCTGGAACTCCTGAGCTCAAGGATCCTCCCACCTCGGCCTGCCAAAGTGCTGGGATTACAGGTGTGAACCACTGTGCCCAGCCTAGATTATCTCTTTGTTCTAAAAACTGATGCACCAAACCTCTGACTTTTCCCACATATTTCTCTATATTAATTTTCCAGAGGAAAATTCCAACCCCCACCGTGTTAATTTGGACCACCTCCTCAACTATGGGGAACTTACAGGTCTCTACCCCTTTTTCCACCTTCTGTTCCAACTGAGCACTATATTTAAGTCACCTCCCTTAGGCTTTCATCTACAGTAAGTGGCTTGCCTGATAATCTCTGAGTATATTACATATGGACACACACTTCAAAGATTTGACTCTGAATTTTTCTGTTTAATTAGAGAAAAAGGCATTCACTACAAATGAAGACTACTTTAAGCTTGAAAATTCAGTAGATTTAGCAAGGTATTGTAACTTATATCCCATAGCTCATATAAATAGTGAATGATTTAGAAATTACAACAAATATACTTTTAAATATGTCCTTTTGTGTTATATATGTAAATTATCTCTTGCTTCAAAAAATGATTGCAAATCATACATTTAACTCAGAAATTGAACTTGTTTTTTGAACATTAAATACAGTTGTAAATATAGTGCCTAACATATAAAGATCATTTACATTAAAAATCCAAAATTTGACTTGTCTTGTGTACTTCAAATTAGTGGTTGTAATAGGATTTTCTAGATAACAAATACTCTCAAATTATCACATTTACCATAGATAAATTACATTCTGCTCTTTTCTTAAAAATACATTACAATACATTAAAATGTTGTTGTCTTCTAAACCATAATCATTTGCTGCCGAAAAGTTAGTGTACAAAGCCTTAAATGGTGAAATGGCAGGCATAAAGACCAAATGGTCCTTTAACCACCTCATTGTAAATGTTTACAAGAAAGATTACTGCAGGCATGATACGTGAAATTTTTGTTCCTTCTACTGCAATCTCTAGCAAAATCATCGCTAAACGCTTTGCTAAACTGCCCCATTTACTACACGTGTTCTTATATTACTGCCATTTCTCTTTTTGATGGAGCTATACATCCTGGATATGTACTGAAAGAGAGCGTATCTATGTTACTACAGCTGTATGACCAAGTTGTCAAATAATTTGTACACTAACCATTATAACACCTAAGGGAATGTGTTTCTTTGAGCTGAATTGAGTCAGGCTATAGAATAACAAAATGAGGATTTTGAAAATAAGCTTGAGACCCTTAAGGATATAGACAATATTTTACACTTTCATGCTAGAATAAATAAACAAAAGCAAGACCATCCAAAGAACACTGTAGGGATTAAAGTTTAACTTGCTTCTCTATCAAATGTAATAACAAATTCTGCTTGAGGATACATGCATATGCTACGATCTATGATTCTCTTCTGTCATCTGTACTCGGATATAATTTACAGTGATATCATCAGAGCATTTGTTGGTACAGCACATAAATGGATATAATGTCTAAAGGCCAGCAAAACTCTGTATACTTACTATGAAAAATAAGTGTATTTATTAAACTTAAAATAAAAATGTTTCATATTATCTTTAGAAATATTTTAAGCTTTTTTAAAAAATTATATAAACTGCTCAAATAAAAGCAAATCTGGTTATTTGCTTGCTTAAATATGAAGGTGTCAATTTGAATTCCATTCTTTATATTGACTCAGCGCAGTTTTTAAGGAATCTTTATCTACATAAAGGGCCATTTCATGTCAATTATTTCATACTTATCTGTCAAAATTTAAGTATATTTTTATTACATTTTTTTTTTGGTTTAGACATAACCCTAGTGTTGTAGATTCTCCAGAGGAAAAGAAAAGATGATTAATTCTGAACATGGCCTAAATATGCCTAAACATTGCGGACAAAGAATTGTTTATAAGAATCAGTCTCAAGGTAGGGTTTGGAAAATAAATCTTTCAGGATTTATGAAGGAGGAAAGTTTGCACAAGGAATTAAGTGCTTACAAACTATTGTAAGGGATAGAGAAGCAAAGTTCAGGGAAAGTCATCCCTGGCTCTCAGGTTTTACTCAAGTTTTCCAGATAAGGGAGCACCAATTGTCAGAGGTTGCTGCAGCCCCAAGAGGAGTAATTTCCACTAGACTACTGAGACCTCTGCAAAACTATGGATCTACCAAGCTCTACCATCTATACCATAGGTTTCAGGAGGAGAAGGACAGTTTTTGTTTTTCTTTTGCCTTCCAAATCCTTTGCAAGAACTTCCCATTGGAGCAATTTGATTTCAAGACTTTCAGCCCCTCCAGGACAGGAGAAATATGGAAAGGGAATGTAGCTCAGACAAATACTGGAGACATCTAAGTTTTCATGTCTCAAGTCCTTCACACAAAACTTGACAAACAGTAAGGGTTGAAATTTGTAGTATACTGATGACTTCATGTTTTTATGTCACTGATGAGTTAGCTACTATAAAGGTGGAATTAATGGTCTCTTGAAACTTTATATAAATATAATTATCTCTTTGGAAACATCAGTCTGAAAAATCATTTTTAATTCTAGCTCTATCCCTTAGTTTGAGAAACACTTTTATTTTAGGGCCTTTCCCCTCCTGCATGGTTATTCTTTCCTGCCAGGAATTGGCACATGTTTTCTATATGGAATACTCAATAAATGCTTGTAGAATTGAATTTCCTTTGACAGCAATAGAGGAACCAACCCTAAAATAATTGAAACCTCAGAATAATTTATTTTAGGCTGGGTCTAAATACAGAGTTCTGTGGGATATTTATTGGGATAATCTGAATATTCCAAATATATTTGCAACAATATTTCAATTGAAAAAGAAGACTTTCTTCTGTCTTTAGTCTTAGAATTACTTCAGTTCTTTTTTCTTTATAGAAAACTTCTCTAGTATAGAGAGAAGGAAGTCAATTCACACGCATTTTCTAGGTCATTTTGAAAATAAATCCTTTACTTCTTACATTTAAGTTTTATTAATTTGGCAGTGCTCATCATTTAAAAAAACTGTATTAAAGAAATAGTGAAGAAATTAATAATAGCAAATTTGATATAAAAACAGAAAGTACCAGCTGGGGTGACATGGCAAAACTCCATCTTTACAAAAAATACAGAAAAAATTAGCCCGGTGTGGTGGTACACACCTGCAGTCCCAGCTACTCGGGGGGCTGAGGTAGGAGGATCACTTGAGCCCAAGAGGTCAAGGCTTCAGTGAACTGAGATCATACCACTGCACTCTAGCCTCGTGACAAAGTGAGACCCTACATTTAAATTTTTTTTAAAAAGTAGTTTGTTTCATATATTACCTGGATCACATTAATTTGCTTTTATTTTATTTATTTTATCTATTTTATCTGTTTTTTGGTAATTCAAAATTTTAGTGCAGATGAATGAATTTGGGGCAGATATATAGATTTTGTTTATACTAAGAACAAACTGTCTTTAGCAGTGGAGAGATTCATTTGCAACTTGCTGTCAAGATTGGTTACAATAATTACTACTGCAAATAAAAGGAAATGTAGCCTAAAAAATAGAACATACTAACTTCATAAACAGTTACGTAAATTGAGATGAGAGTCTGAATCGGTAATGTAGCTAAAGCAATCCTGACAGGATTATGTTTAGATTGAATTTACGAATCATTGGAAGTCTCTGGAAAATGAATGACTGCATTTTAATTACCATGTCTAAACACCACCATTTGGGGATAATCACAAGGTTTACTTCTGAAAGTAGAACTTAAATTTTACTTATCACTGAAAATCAGCCAAGATAGGGAAACATTTCTAGCAAACCTACAGATTATTTGTTAAATTACTGAATGGTTATTTAACATAAATTAATAGGAAAAATCAATAAATGTAACAGAAAACAAAGAAATGATTTGTCTTTTACTATTTTAATCCATCCATGTTAAACAGGCTGAAAATTCTTTACATTTTTATTACCTAAAAATCAGTAGAACAGTTAATCTTTCAGAGTCAGGGTTTGCTGTTATCAATTTGTGGGCAGCCCACAGTATTTCTCAAACCGTTATCAAATAACTACCTTTACCTAAATTATCTGGAATGTTTGTTTATTCTGCTGACTTCTGGGCCCCTCCCCAGACTTACTGAATTGATATTTTGAGGATATGACATGAAATGCTGCAATTTTAGCAGACTCCTCTATGTTTTCTTACCACATTGAGGTTTGAAAATTGCTGTTTTATGAGATAAAAGATACTAAGTTCAATTACTGTCTATTACCTTGAGGCATATTTGTAAAACAGGAAAATTTATCATGGACGTAATAATAAAATACAACTTTAAAGTGGAAGAAAAGAAAACCTCCACAAATTATAGATACATTACACACACACACACACACACACACACACACACACAAAGCTTTAGGTATAAAAAACTGTAATAGTAAAGTGAGAAGAAAGGGAAGTAGCACTCTCTCATTTATTGATCCAAAAGTGCTTCCTAACCAGTCACTGAGTGGCAGTGTTTTAGAAAATGGGGATCAGCATTAAAAAGGAGAAAAAAAAATGTATACACTTGTAAAGCTTACAGGAAAGAGTCAGAAAATAAACTAAGAAGTATATTAGAAAAAAAGAGAACTGGGTAAGGAGGACTCAGATTGCTAGGGAGAATTTATAGTAGAATTTAAAATAGGAAGTTCAAAGTCTTTTATAATGAGAAAATAATCTTAGAACAACGATTTGAATGAGATGAGAAAATTAGCAGCGGTGAACATTCCAAGTAGCGGAAACTAGGCAAAGGTCCTAAGGATTATACATTCTTTTCAATCACATTTTCTTAAATATCACTCATTTTACCAAAAAAAAAAAATTCTGGGTATTATTTTTATTGATCAGTGACCGCTTTGATGCTTAATGTAGAGATATCTTCGGGTTGTATTTCTTTCTAGAGGCCTTCAAATACTAAGTAAATGTTAAATATGTTTCCCTGGGGCATAGATTAGTTAACTTATAGTGATAATGAAATATTTTAAATTACATCATCAACAATATAATGTTTACTAAGTTAGGGAGTCCTGGTGGAAATAGCAGGATAATTGTCCAAATAATGTAAATTCTTTTTTTTTTTTTTTTTGAGACAGAGTCTCACTCTGCTGCCCCGACTGGAATGTATTGGTGCGATCTCAGCTCACTGCAGCCTCCGCCTCCTGAGTTCAAGAGATTCTCATGCCTCAATCTCTTGCATAACTGGGACTACATGCAAGTGATGCCACACCTAGCTGATTTTTGTATTTTTAGTAGAGATGGGATTTCACCATGCTGGCCAGTCTCATCTCCAACTCCTGACCTCAAGTGATCTGCCTGCCTCGGCCTCCCAAAGTGCTGGAATTACAGGCATGAGCCAACATGCCTGGCCCAAATAATGTAAATTCTTCGTCTATTTCTTTTTCTTTTTATACTTTACTAATTTTTCATGCCACAAAGTATAAATATATTTTAGTAAATTATATAATGATATGCCATTTACTAGTGGCTCAAGCAAAAGTAAATAGACCTTGTGTCTACGGATGCTAATGTATTAGTCAAATCCCATACAAAATGTATGTTCAAATTTCAGTAACAGATTTTTATTTGGGATATAAAATCAGATGTACCAAAAATATAAGAAGTCCAGTAGGATGAAGAAAAAAACAGATTAAATGTGGATCTTAAAAAACAGCATGTTGAGGTGAGGCCAGATGAGGGCTTCAAGATGACTGACTAGAGGTGCCTGACATTCACATCCTCCACAAAGAAGAACCAAAGCAGTGAGTAGATAATCACAGGCGGAACAGAGCATCTAAGAGAGAGCAGTAGAATTCAGCAGGGAAATGACAGAAAACATCGGAGGGATGGGAGAATAGGGAAACAAAGCAGCTGGGCTGATCAGGATCAGCTGACAAAGGAAACTCCCCATTGCAGGGAAAAGGTAAGCAAGAGATTCCCAGTGGTCCACATACCCACTATGAACCCCTGCAATTCTAGGCACTGGAAGTCCCCTTGCCCCTCAAGGGCTCTGAGACCAGTACTGGGAGCTGCCAGGAGTCCACATAATTGTTCCAGAGAAGGAGTTCCCCCTGGGTCCCACGCACCCCCTGGACCCAAGCAACTACAGCAAACCACCATTTTGAGAGCCCAGCCCCTGCTAGGCTACATTTTTCCTAAAGGCTGAATAGTCCCTACATCCCTACATTCCTGGATCCCTGCTGACATACCACAATGTTCACCCAGAGGGCTGCAGCATTTTGGAAAAAAACAGGGAAGTATCATACTACCTGACCTTAAAATATACTATGAAGCTATAATACTACAAATATCATAGCGTTAGTATAAAAACAGACTCATAGACTAATGGAACAGGATACAGAACACAGAAATAAATCTACATATTTGCTGCCAGGTGATTTTGACAAAAGCATCAAGAATATATACTGGAGAAAGGACATCTTCTTCAATAAACGATGCTTGGAAAACTGGATATCCATATGCAGAAGAATGAAATGAGACACATATTTCTCACCTATACAAAAATCAATTCAAAATGGATTAAATAATTAAGCATAAATCATAAAAACATAAAACTATTAGAAGAAAATGTAAGGGAAACACTTCAGGGTGTTGATCTAGGTGAAGGTTTTATGGCTTAAAGCTTCAAAAATACAGGCAATAAAAATAAAATGGACAAATGGGCCTATGTTAAACTACAACGCTTCTGCAGAGAAAAGGGAACAATTAATAGAGTGAAGAAACCACCTGAAGAATGCATGAAAATATTTGCAAACCATTTATCCAACAAGGGACTAATATTCAGAATATACAAAGAACTCAAAAAACTCAACAGCAAAAAACAAATAACCTCATTAAAAAGTGGGCAAAGGATCTGAATACACATTTTCCAGAAGAAGACATATGGATGGCCAACAGGTGTATGAAAAATAAGGCTCCACATTGCTAATCATCAGAGAAATGCAAGTCAAAACCACAATAAAATATCATCTCACCCCAACTAGAATTGTTATCATTAAAAAGAAAAAAAAATCAACACTGGTAAGGACATGGAGATAAAGGAACTGTTACATACTGCTGTTGATGGAAATGTAAATTAGTACAGCCATTATGAAAACCAATATGGAGATTTCTCAAAAACCTTAAAATAGAACTACCATACACTCCAGGAATTTCACTACTGGGTATTTATCCAAAGGAAAGGAAATTGATATATTAAATGCTTATTGTAGCACTATTCATAAGAGCCAAGTTATGGTACCAATCTAAGTGTCATCAGTGGGTGAATGGATAAAGAAAATGTGGTATATATGCAAGTGGAGTATTATTCAGTCACAAATAAAATAAAATCTTGTTATTTGCAGCAACACGAATGGAACTGGAGTTCACTAAGTGAAATAAGCCAGACACAGAAAGACAAATATTGCACATTCTCATTCATCTGGTGGAACTTAAAGATTTGATCTCATGGAGTTAGAAAGTAAAATGACAGTTACCAGAGTCAGGGAAGAGTAAAAGAGGGGATGAAGAGACATTTGTTAATGAATACAAATATACAGTTAGATTAAAGGAATAAGTTAATAATATAGTTATTATCAGTGAATAATTATAGTTAATAATAATTTATAGCATATTTTAAAACAGTTAGAAGACTTGAAATGTTCCCAATATGAATAATTGATAAATGCTTGAGGTGATGGATATTCTAAATACCTTAATTTGATCATTACACATTGTATGCATATATCAAAATATCACATGTACCCCATACATTTGTACAATTTTTTATGTATGAATAAAAAATCCTGAATATAAAAAGCAGCATATTTTCCCATGTTAGTTATTAAAATTATAAATTTGCTGTTTTGCATTGAATCCTCTGTGCAATAAGAAAACCAAAGTGTGTCCTCCATAAAAGTTTTACTTAAGGATGAATAGTGCTAATAGTATTCTAGAGAATATAAGGGAACAAACTAATTTTAATCTGTGACATTTATCCTTAATCTTGGTTAAAAGGACCATTATCAACTCAGAAAAAGAAGGGCAAATATTTCAACTTCCATTTTTCTAATGAGAACATTAAGCCTAAAGATTAAATAATTTCCTTCTGATGAAAAAGTTAGTTTTCACACTGAAGTCTTCTGATTCTAAAAGCTGTACATTATGTTTTTTAAAATAAGTTAGACTGTGACTTAAAGTAAGGAAATATTTTATTTTGCAAATCTTTGCAGTAGCTATTCTCTAAAAAATCACTCCATGGTCACTATTTCCTGCTATTTTTACCCATCTATAGTCTTCCCGTATAAAATAGGGACAACTTGTATAATCAATATGAAATGGTATTGGAGTGTGCCATCAGAAGCTGACTGATAAAAGATATGAAGCTTCCATGTTGCTCTCTCTTTTAATCTTTTACACTAGAAGAAGCCAGCCGCCAAGTCATAAGAGATGGAGGCATTTTGTCACAGCCGTGTAAATGAGCCCTATTAGAAGTAGATCTTCCAGTCCAAGTCAAATCATTAGATGACTGTAGCCATGGCTTACACCTTAACTGAAATAATGTGAGAGACTTTGAAGTAGAACAACCCACTTAAACTATCCCCAAATTTCTATAGAGTTACCCACTGTGAGTTAATAAATTGTTATTGTTTATGTCATTTTTGGGGACTAGATAACTACTACACCCAATATAAACAATGTAAAAATGTAAATGAGTAGATATTTTCCAAAAATCTCTACTTGCCTTTAAAATGTGTGATGTACTTATTCTTCAATCCTATTCTTTTTCGTTAAAATTATTCAGCTTATGATTCTTAAAAATGCATTATTCTATGAGTTAATCCACATGATTATTACTATTTTACAAAGAGAATCAGGTGAGTGCAGCTTTAAGTCTTACTTCAATGCATTTGGTATTCTTGAGCCATTTCTTAAGAAAAATTTAGAATATTTACTGCTTTTCATTTATATCTTTTTATTTTTAAAATTGTGACATCACTCGTTAGATTTTATGTGGAATCTGAAACTAAAAGAGAAAAATTTTTCCCTCTGTAAATGAAAATACTCTATCTCGAGTTAATTTATTTGATGATCTTTTTAGAAGTGGCATCATTCCTTGTAGGCCTCTGGAGTTTAATACAAAAAAAAATGTCTGTCATATAACATTAGTAATAACTTATGATAACAGTGAAGAATATATCAAGGAGATAACAAGTTACTGAAGTCAAACAGATAAAGTTCCATAGAAATTCTATTTTGGAAAAACCTTTTAAACCGTGAAATTTGGTTTTCCCATTCATAAAATTACTGACCGCTAATAAAGATTTAAGGGCCTGAGAAAAAAAGGAATCTATTACAATGAATGGTTTTCTGATGCCTCTTCTCAGCGTAAGAGGAAGAATAAACTGATGATACCAGGAAATGAAGCATTTGCAGTTGGCTTTGGGCATTTCAGGTGAATGGGGCTGATTGAATCTTAGAAGGAATATAAATTGTGTCTGACACATTTCTTGTAAATAACATAAATAAAACACATTTTGTAAAGATTTTTGAAAAGTTATTCCAAATTGAGTTATTCATAGGGTTGGCTGAGGTATTCCATAAAATGTTCTTACTGCTTCACTTCATCCTCTGCCCTATCTTTCCTTCCTTTCTTTTACTCATAGACATTGATCTTAAGAACACTTCGAATAGAACTCCTGAATGCTAATCTCTATTTTAGGGTCTGTTTCCCAGGGATTCCAACTGACTAGAGCAAGTTTATTAGGGTATATTTCCTCTCTAAGCAAACCTTCTGCCAAACAGATTCTATTATCAAACATTTTATGGGCTGCCACAGGAGTAACTGCATTATACTTGGAACAGCACTTCGCTGAAATACATTTTTGTTCCATTCTAATTTTCAGTATTTGTTTAAGTATCAATCTGGCTCAATTAGGCTGGCTAATGCTGTTTTTAAATATTTGGTACTCTGAAGTTTGTTTCTGCTTGCAATTCTTGCAAATGCCAGATGACCCGATTTTTTGCATAAATTCTTTTCTTGATAATTCCTAACTTTGAAGGTCAGTCATCCATAAAAAAAAGAGAAATGTTGAATAAATCTTTCTTGTGGTTGTATAGTAGGGGGACTTAGAAATGACAATGTTTACGTCTCCTATTCCTTACATAAATATTAAGACATTGCAAATCTAATTTTCTTTACATTTCTTTTTATTTGGAGATTCCATTATATTTAAATCTGAGCTTTTGACAGATTAACAATATATGCATTGCTGTGGGATTTATGATAAGTTATAAAACTCTCTGGTAGTCAGCTTTTTCCCATTTCTTAACATTGTTTCTCCCCTATTACATATATCAAGCCACCATGGCAATAAGAATTTGTTCTTATACATTTCGTGGTAAGGAGATATAAAAATTGGATTTTAATGGTTCAACATAAGCAGAAGGCAAAGGCAGTCTTCTAATATTCTAATATAAAGGCTAATTATGTAAAGGCTGGTGACCAGATGTCTTCTCTTCCTCTCAGGCTCAGAAAAAAAACTTAAGTAGTTTAAAGCTTAACATGAGTGACTCAGAAAACTGCATACAGAAAGTCATCAAGCAGTCAGGCCAGTCTCAGAGATGACTGCATTCAAACATCGCATAAAAAAGCAACCAAGTCCTTTTTGCTAACCCTATTTTTAAAAGGACTCTACGTATGACATGAGATAAAATTTGTAAAAAAGAGTTGATGTTTTGAAAAATGACTATAGATTGTTTAGTAAAAGTGTTACTGGCAATTTCTAAATACAGTTCATGATATAGTGTTCAAATTGTATTGAATCAGATATTTATTAAATTACTATTGTTAAATGTTATGCTAATGAAGAAAGTAAGAAGAATAATGCAGCCTATTAGGATTTCTTTTATAGTTTAATGTTCAATTTCAGGGTTCATTTAAAAATCAAATTAAAGAGTCCAATTTCCTTTCTGCATATAAAGTCAAAGAAACTATTGCCCAGAAGCCATATGCTAAAAGATTTCCATACTTCACTACATATTTATTCTAAATTTTGATGTGAAAATAAATCAAAATCTCAATTACTAAATTATATAACACCTGAAGTCTAGAATCAATGATCTAAGACTGAACTTATACAATTCGATAAAAAAACTCAATAGAAAAATTGACAAAGAAATTTTTAAAAACAGATAAATTAACTAAAGAATTGGTAAATTTCTAGCTAATATAAAAAATCATTATAAATAAAAATGTTTGCTGAAGAGTGATATCAGCAAGATGGCAGAGTAGGAAGTCTTAGCACTCATCTCCACACATAAACACTGATAAAACAATGCTATTTGGGCCAAAATACCTTTATAAAACCTGTAAAATCCAATTAAGAACTTGAAACAGCCTCGAAAGGTGAAAAACTTAGAAAAATCTTTCTGAAATGGATGAAAGGAACAATTTTAGTTTATCTGTGTCAACCTCTCCCACAAGCCACTCTGGCTCAGTGACAAAAGAAATTCATTAGGCTCAACATTTCTCCCTTGGGGGAAAGACTCAGGGAAGAGTCCATCTGACATTCCCAGGCTTGGGGTTCTCCCCAGTAATCCTAATTTTGTTTTACCTCAACTCCAAGCAGTCAGGGAACCAGTAATAGAATGCCTCGGGGAAGCTAACACCAAAGAAACGTGCTGAGTCTCTCAGCAGCTAGCATAGCACTGTGGGATGGAAAGAAGATGCAAATATTTTAGATTCTGTATTCAGGAAGAAGGGAGAAAAGTGGAGCTACACTAGGGAAATGGGGCAAGAAGCTTTCAAGTCTGTATGGCACTGTGACATAAAGAGAAAGTTTACAATCCTGAGTCTTACCCTTCAGGAGGAAGAGAAAGAAGTGGAACTTGCACCCAGCCTGTCACCATTCCAGTGCATTCCTTTCATGAAGATGACTTACTGTGACCAGCACAACATGTTGAGATTGGGAGAAGAGGCACAACCCTGAAATGTGTCCACCAAGAATAGAAAAGGAGTGGAATGTGTACAGCCACAGAAAATATTTGAGAAGCTTCCAGCTAGGCTGATTGGTAAAAGAGTTTCTCCGCTGAAACCAGCTGATAAAGACTGGAAGAAGTGAGTGATTCTTTAAATGTGTAGATGCAAATGCAAAGCTACTGGAACCACCAAGAATCAAGAAAAGATGACACTACCAAAGGGAAAAATAAACCTCCAGTAACAGACTGTAAAGAAATGAAGAACTATGGTTTGCATGAGAAAGAATTCAAAATAATTACCTTAAAGAAGCTCAGTGAGGCTAGCTGTTGTGGCTCATGCCTGTAATCCCAGCCCTTTGGGAGGCTGAGACACGAGAATTTCTTAAGGCTAAGAGTTTGAGACCAGACTTGGCAACACATTGAGGCCTCATCTCTACAAGAAAAATAATAATAATCATAATTAGCTGAATGTTGTGGCACACCTGTTGTGGCACACATCTGTAGTCTCAGCTACTTGGGAGACTAAGGTGGGAGGATCACTGGAGCCCTGCAGGATCACTGCAGTAGGTTGAGACTGCAGTGAGCCATGACTGTTTCAGTGACCTACAACTCAACAAAATCAGAAAAAAGACCCATGAACAAAATGAGACTATCAATAAAGAGATAGAAACCATACAATAACTGGACTGAAAAATCAAAGAGACAGTTTCAACAGCAGACTTGATAAAACTGAAGAAAGTATCAGCAAGTTCAAAGACAGATAATTTAAAATTATCCAGTCAGAAGAGCAAAAAAGGCCCAGGTGTGGTGGCTCACAACTGTAATCCCAGCACCTTGGGAGGCGAAGGAGGGCTGATCACCTACGGTCAGGAGTTCAAGACCAGCCTGGCCAACATGGCGAAACCCCATCTCTTCTAAAAATACAAAAATTAGCTGGGCACAGTAGCACATTCCTGTAATTCCAGATACGCTGGAGGCTGAGGCACGAGAATAGTTTGAGTCCGGGAGGCAGAGGCTGCAGTAATTCGAGATCGCACCACTACACTCCAGACTGGGTGACAGAGAGAGACTCCATGTCAAAAAAAAAAAAGAGGAAGAAGAAGAAGAAGAAGAAGAAGAAATAAAATACAATAAAGATAGTTATGGGATTAATGGGACATAACAAATAAAAGGAAACAATATATATGTGACATTCCAGAAAGAAAAGGCAGAAAAAGCCAGAAACTTATTTTAAAAAATAATGGCCTAAGATTCTCAAAATCTGGGGAGGAAAATAGACATCCATATTTATGAAGCTCAAATTTGTCCTATTAGGGTAAACCAAAATGTTTATACTAAGATGCATTATAATCAAATGTCAAATTCAAAGATAAAGAGATACTTTTGAAAGCACAAGAGAAAATAGATTTATTATGTGTAAAGGAGCTCCCATAATACTATCAGTGAATTTCTCAGCAGAAACTCTGCTGACAGAAGGGAATTAGATGATTTATTCAAAGTACTAAAAGAAAAAACAAGACAAATCTGCCAACTATGGATCTATACCCAGCAAAATATTCTTTCAAAAATGAATGAGAGATAGACTTTCCTAAAAAAAAAAGCTGAGTTTGTTCACTACCACTAAAAATGAGTTGCAAAACATGTGAAAGCAAGTTCTTTATATTAAAACTAAAGGATAGTAAACAGAAACAGGAAAGTGTTAAAAGGGTAACAATTGCTAGTAAAGGTTATCATGTAAACAAATAAAGGATATTGTAATACTGTAATGATGGTGTAGAAATCACTTTTAATTGTAGTATAAAAGTTAAAAATCCAAAAATATAAAAAGCAACTAATTACAAAAATGTGTTAATGGACTTACCTTGTCGAAAGGTGTATATTGTGACATCAAAAACATAAAGTATGACAAGGAAGTATATTGTATTGTAGACTGTACATTATTGATGATAATTTGCTATTAGCTTAAAATAGGCTTTTATAACTATAAGATGTCTATGGAATACTTCATAATAACCACAATATAAAAACACATACAGAAAAAAAAAACAGTGAAAAGAGAATCAGATCTAGAAGAGCCAAGGCCGTTTTGCACAAAAAAAAAAAAAAAAAACCCAAAACTAGAAGAATCACATTACCTGACTTCAAATTATACTCCCAAGCTAAATGAACCCAAAAGCATAATAATGGCATAAAAGTAGACACATAGGCCAATGGAACACAATGGAGAACCCAGAGATAAATCCATACATTAATAGTCAAGTCATTTTCAACAGAAGTGCCAAGAATATACATTGGGGAAATAACAGTATGTTCAATAAATTGTTGTGGGAAAACTGGATATCCATGTGCAGAAAAATAAAACTAGACCCCTGTATCTTGCCATATACAAAAATCAAAATGGATTAAAGACTTAAATCTAAGACTTGAAACTATAATAATATTAGAAGAAAACATTGGGGAAACACTCTAAGACGTTGATCTGGGTAAAGACTTCCTGAGTAGCACCTCAAAAGTAAAAGCAACCAAAGCAAAAATGAACAAATGGGATCACATCGAACTAAAAAGCTTTTGTACAGCAAAGAAACAATCAAGAAAGTGAAGAGACAACCCACAGAATGAAAGTAAATATTTATGAATTACCCATCTGATAAGAGATTAATAACCAGAATATATAAAGAGCCCCCCAAAAACACAATAGGATCAAAAAATAATTTGATTTAAAATGGCCAAAATATCTAAAAAAAAAAAAAAGAGCTGAATAGATACTTCTCAAAAGAAGATATACATATGGCAAACACGTATATACAAAAATGCTCTACATCACTAATCATCAGAAAAATGAAAATCGAAACAACAGGGAGATATCTCAACCAGTTAAAATAACTTTTATCTAAAAGACAGGCAATAATGAATTCCTGTCTTTTAGGTAACAGGCCTGTGGAGAAAGGGGAACCCTTCTGAGGATAAAGTGAGGATGGTTAGTGGGTACATAAATGGAATGACTAAGATGTGGTATTTGGTAGCACAATAGGTTGACTATAGTTAAAAAAATTTTTGTATATTGTATAATAGCTAAGAGTGGAATTAAAATGTTCCTTACATACCAAAAAGATAAAAGCTTGCAGTTAAGGCTACTCCCAATTACCCTAATTTGATCATTTCACATTGTATGCCTATATCAAAACATCCCATGTGTCCCATAAATGTATACAATTATTATATACCCATAACAATTTAAACAAACTTTTTCAAAATCAGTAAAACTCAAAGACAGCAAGATGGGAAAAGAGAAACTGAAATACTACAAACCAGAGATAAAATAATTAACAAAATTGAAATAGTAAGTTCTTCCATATCAATAATCACCTAAATGTAAATAGATTAAATTTGTCAATCACCATACAGTTAGTGGTTGAAAAGATTATAAACAGGACCCAACTATATGCTGTCTACAACAGACTGACTTTCGATTTAAGGACACACATAGGCTGAAAGTGAAGGGATGGAAAAAGATATTCTACGCAAATAGTAATCAAAAGAGTGCAGGGGTGGTTATGCTAATATCAGAAAAAATATATATATATAAGTCAAAAATTATCTCAAGGGACAAAGAAACACATTATATAATGATAAATTGATTAATGTATCAGTAAGATATAATACATATATATGAATATATAAAAATATATAAAATAAATGTCTATCCACCTGCCATTAGAACACCTGAATACATAAAGGAAATATTAAATATGAAGGAAATATTAACAGAACTGAAGGGAGAAATAGACAACGATACTATAGTAATAAGAGATTTCAGTACACCACTTTCAACAACGATATTTCATTCAGACAGAAAATCAATAAGGAAATAGTGAACTTGAACAACTGTATAGACCAAATGGAACTCAGGTATATCTACGGAACATAAATTCAACAGTAGCAGAATATATATTCTTCTCAAAGGCACACAGAACCGTCTTCAGGATATGTCACATGTCAATTGAAAATGCATACATACACATATATTCAACCTCACACACATCTGTGTTCGTATATAGTTCATGGAAGTTTTGAATAATCATGGAATCATAGTTTTCTAAAGACACATTTGTGAAAATGGCTGACAAATTTCCCTATCAGTTTTAACGTTACATCGACACTTTGGGCACGCTCATTTTGGTGGTACTATTGTATTTGGAGGATTATTACATTTAGATATTAATTTATGACAACTAAATTAAAAATAAACGCTAAAGCCACAGTGAACATAAAACAAAACAGTATTAGAGCTCCCCCTAGTGTCATGTAACAGCTGCAGCTAACATGCTTGTGCAAATACCATGTTAACGTTTCTAAGCAGTTGAGCCTTGAGGTTAACACCACGGATAATTAAAAAACTTCTACGTCTTATTTCTCGTAATTGATCTTTTAAAGTCTATATTATATAGTTAGTTAATTCTGTAAAACATTAAATAGAGAAGCTGTTTACAAAAAGAAAAAAAAATTGGGCAACCATTTCTCTCTAGCACTTGAATTTTTTCAGGGTGACTTTTTTGTTGTTGTTCTTGAAAAGAATGTTTGAGAATATTTACCATCAAGTAGAATCTTAGAATTTTAGATCTGAAACAGACTTTTGAGTTCAATTCTTTCAAAATTTTATTACCCAGTTAAAAATCTGAGAGATGAAAGTGTTTGCTAAAATTTGTACAACCAGGTTCTAACAGGATCTAGATTAGAACCTAGGTTGATGTCCACTGTATTGGCTATTCCACTGTTGTACACTCCATCTCTGTTATTTACAAGTTAGTTGAGTACGTCGGACCACAATTTGATTATTTTGTTTCCAATTTTTAAAGAAAGTTAAAGTTTTTGCAGAAGAAAATTATTAGAAGATAATTCATGTAAGAAACATTATTAATTTCATACATTATGGGTATTTGTACTTAAACAAATTATTAGATAATTCTTATTTTGAATATCATGACCACAATCATTAGTTTTGTATAATAAAAACGACTGCATTGATTTTCAGTCTGTTAAATATTTCACTCACTTGCCTGGATATTTTGGTAAGCAGTTACCCTACCGAATAGTGAAACTTCCTTTGCAAACATTATAACCATGAGAAAATTATGACAGTGAAAGAAATTGACCTAACAATTGCATCTTGCCTTTAACCTCCAAATTGCTCTTGGTTATTCCTGGGTGTGGGCCAAGCTAATTTTGGGGAAAATTTAGTTTACAGTTTAAAGGATAATAGCCTTTCCTAAGACTAAACCATCAACGCAATTCTTTCCTCATCCATTTTAAATGCCTTACCAATTTTATTAATAAGATAGTAAAGCTTTACTACAGGAAGAGAGTAAAGGGTACAATCTCAAAGACTTTCAAAATCTTTATTTTTTGAGACAGAGTCTCGCTCTGTCGCCCAGGCTGGAGTGCAGTGGTGCAATCTCGGCTCACTACAAGCTTCGCCTCCCGTGTTCACGCCATTCTCCTGCCTCAGCCTCCTGAGTAGCTGGGACTACAGGCGCCCACCACCACGCCTGGCTAATTTTTTGTATTTTTAGTAGAGACGGGGTTTCATCGTGTTAGCCAGGATGGTCTCGATCTCCTGACCTCGTGATCCGCCTGCCTCGGCCTTTCAAAATACTGGGATTACAGGCGTGAGCCACCGCGCCCTGCTGTATTGAGGTGATCATTTTAGGATCATTCAGAAAGGGTCATTTTCTTTTTTCTTTTTTTCTTTTTTTGAGACAGAGTCTGGCCCTGTCACCCAGACTTGCAGTGGTATGATCTCCGCTCACTGCAACCTCCACTTCCAGGGTTCAAGTGATTCTCCTGCCTTAGCTTCCTGAGTAGCTGACACTACAGGTGCACACCACCATACTAGGCTAATTTTTGTATTTTTAGTGCAGACGGTGTTTCACTGTGCTGGCCAGGCTGATCTAGAATTCCTGATCTCAAGAGATTTGCCTGCCTCAGTGATGGGATTACAGGTGTGAGCCACCGTGCTCGGGCGACTCATTTTAGAATAGTATATGTCTGGTGTATGTATGAATTGTCAATAATGGTTTCATTGTGTCTATCCCTTTCTTATCTTAGGTTCTATAAGGACATACAATAGTAGACTTGTAAACAAAACTATTTAAACCCATCATGATACCCAGGTCTGTGAAAAGTGACAAGAGAAATGTGTGATTGAGGCATAAGTCTCAATCACTGAGGTTTATTAAGCCCGACTTAGGGCATTTCCAGGAATAATATGAGCCATAAGCACATGTGTGGTTGTTTTTCCCAAAGAGGTTTTCAGGTTTAGTGTTTTGCCATAAGGTTTAAGCATCATAAACTATAAACTCTACCATAAACATTTCCTTAAGGGGTGATGGGGAGAGGCATGTAAGAAGAGGGACAGGCAGGCAGTAAGGTGAATAGTTACATTCCGGTGGGACTTCAGTTAGTGCCCAGTAAATCCACATTTAACATAAGGTAATGTGGATGTCTGCAGAAGAAAAGAGAGTTAAGGAAGAGTCAATTATGCAAAGTCTCTGAGTATGGGTATAGGAAATGAGCCTTGACTTTGTTCTGCACCTGGGAAGATAAATGTGTAATCGGTGTGGAATTTTAGGAGGTAGACTTAGATTGCAGACCTAAAGTTACAATTGGTGTGTCTTTGTTAATGGGAAGCTAGCAAAGAATTTGCCTATGAATAATCTGCGGGGGCAGCCCTTCCCAGATGCCTGAGGCTTTTTACCTTTCCATGGAGACTTGGTTGACCCATAATGTTACTAACAGCTATTCATTTGGAAGAGGGTATTGTAATGAGTCAGCTTCAGGGCTTAATCTTCATTTTTGCATACATTTGGAGGGTTCTGAGATTTTAATTTTTATTTACATAAGCTTTCTTTATAATGGAAGATCTGTTTTTGGCCAATGGGTGATACTTTAAGGATGTGCTTTTTCAAAGAATTTAGCCAGCAATGTCAAGAAACTGTAATAGAAGATTTATAGATGAAACCTGCATATTCATGGTACTATTATATTCACTACAGTGAAGTTTATGTTATATAAGAAAGTAGTTATCCACCAACAATGAAAACATATAATCTACCATCCAAGAAGAGAAACTGAAGAATACAAAATAAATTGATCCATGATTGGTTTGCTCAGAAAACACTAGTTGTTTTTGTGCAAAAACAGTAATTATATCTTCAACATTAAATAATGGAAAACAAACTTGTGAAAAGAGACTGCAGCTTTTTGGTCAAAATAATTAAGTATACTAAAGCAGTTTAGATACACAAAACAAATTGAGGATGCCACTTTTTTTAAAGAGCAAGAAACTATGGAAAGCATGTAGAAAGTGATCTTAACCAAATCAGTGAGTTATTACTATAGAGAAAATCAAAATATGGGAATTATGGATTATTTTATGTGAAAGGAAAATAAAATCTTGGGACTCTAAACTCACTACGCCACAGGGAAAAGTTAAACTTGGGAACTGAGTCACACAAAACTGCCTCCCGTTTTGTTCTTAAATGGACAGCTGCAAAGATAGAAGGCAGCATACCTCCCCAGGGATTCTTTCCACAATTTGCTCACAAGGAAATTCCTGTGGGCCCCAAGATCTTTAGCCTAAAACAGAGTTCTTTTAAGTTTTGCCTTGACAATGTAAATCAACAGCTTATCTTCACAGAACAAAGGCAGGACTGAAAGTCCTCCTTCCACTCCCTGAGACAAATGCATATTTGCCTCCTCTACTCTGTATTTACTTTATCTTATGGAAAAATCCAGATTCACTGAGTGTGAGACATGCATGGTTGACTGTTCCTCTACCCACTCTTTTCACATGTAAAATGTGAATTCAGTGAACACCATTAAAAGCCTCAGAGGAATGCAACCGCTTCAAGTCTTTTATTTATTCTGCCTCTTTTCTTCCCTCTTTCCCCTATTTAAAGCTTTTTCCCCTTTAAGCATTGAAGTTTTCAAACTCTCTTTGGAATAAGCATGGATCACAGATGTTCCTGTGATTTTGTGTTCCTTTTTCCCAGGCACGTCCTCAACTGTGGCAAAATAAACCTCTAAATTGATTGAGATTTGTCCCAGTCATTTCCTTTGGTTTTATAGTTACATGGGAAAAATTATTTAAAAAGCCAAGAAAGTATGTCTGGAACATACTTTCTTAAATTTAAAGCTTAAATTGAAAGCTTAAATTCAAATTGAAGCATAAATCATATACTTTTCTCCTGGGTGGCTTTCCCAGTGCTAAGGTTCTCTAGTGTATCAATGATGCCATCACATTTAGACAAAAAGAGACTCAGGCAGCTGAACATTTGTCTTATATTTGAGTTTAAATGAGGGCCTCTTAAGCTTGGACATGATTTTGTTAAGTTCTTTGAACAGCGCCTTTGTGGAAACACACTGATTAGAAGGTGATCTAGTAAAAGAAGACATGTAGAAAAGACTTTTCTTTTTTTCTTTTTTTAATGTTCCCAGAATAATGATCAAAGTGCTACAGATCTCATTGGGAATTTGTATTCACTAACAACTATTATTCTGATTTAACCACCTTGTCATCAAGAGAAGGGTCAAGTGAGTTTCTGAAGATCTGGTAATTAGCTAAAGGTATAAACTTATACTGAACTCTACTATTTTTTTCTTTAAATAATTAAATCTACTTTTGATATCAGGAGTTCTTATCTCTGATTTGATCAAGGCTAGTCATTTTTAATTAATTGAAAAAGCAAATTAATATAAAACATGAATCATAATGCATGAGTACTTTAAATGCTGCATTTGAAATTTAAACAAACACACAAATACAAACATACCATTTGACGTACAGCCAATGCCGTTCTAGGGCTACAGTTCCCAGTTGGAGTGCTACATAATTTTAGAGTAACTCATCATTTATGTTAGCTTTTTTTTTTTTTAATGGAGTAAGAAGCTAAAGAACATTGCAAAGCAATCTGAGGGCAGAATCACTTAGAAATTTATTTATCCTTGTCCCCCTCCCCAGTATTTTACAACAAAGTTACCTATATCTTATTCAGCAGAATCTGTTTTTTCGGTTATTTGCCTTTGATCTGTCAGCTCAAAATATTGATTTAAATTTTCATGAAGCAACTCTCTTTCCTGTTATATTTCCTTGGTTTGCACAGCACTCAATTGAATTATGTAATTTCAAGTAGCTAGAATATACTGGCTTAGTGACTATGATAGTTTGCATTTTTTCATTTTTTTTTTAGCAAATATTTGTGTACCCCTGCCTCCCACTGTGGGCAGAGAATGTTTCCATGTCCCACCAATGTTGGGTTTGGGTATTTGACTTGATTTGATCAATGAGAAGTTAGTGGTGTTATTTAAACATAGGCTTGAAATTACATGCTCTCCTGCTTTTCTGTCATCAGAACAAGAATGAAATGTTCTGTACAGCTGCTTCTGCCGGAAGAATGAGAAATACATTGAGCAGAGCTATCCCAGTTGACGCAAATGTGTAAGCAATACAAAACATGCTACTACTGTATGTCACTGAGTTTTGAGGTATTTGTCACACACTAATAGATGATCATGCAAGAAATAAGCTCAAATGAGTTTAAGAAAGGCTTCTATTGAACTTGTGAGAGCAGATATATGTGGACTAAGATTCTTATTAGCTGTAAGTATGAGGATATCATGGCAACAAAAAGTAAAAACTAAGAAGAATCTTATTTTCATGTGCCCCAGGTTTTTTCATCCTCTGCTTGTTTTATTCTTCTTTCTAATCAAGCATAACTTGACCAACAATGTTTATCACCATAGTGTTGGGTCTAAAGATGCTGCTGCATGACACAGTGTTACTTCAAAGTTAATTCAGAAAGACCATATTCTGATTTTTTTCTACAGCCATTATTGTTAAACCTGTCACTAAATTTGTCTTCTAAAAATCCTAATGATCTTCTGATCTTACTATAAAAAAGCTCTATTAATCTGGGTTGCTCAGTATTTTGTTTCCTTATCTACTCACGATCTCATGTTAATGCCTAACCTAGGTGTCTTCCGTATTGCTCTTGAACCATGCTCCTCATGTTAGACTAAGACATTTCTAGATCCTTACAGGGCAATGACATGAGGTATAACATTGATTAACTGCAGAGGACGACTGACATGACAGAAACACACTCACATGTTACAGTTCACATGGCTCATATTCCTGGCTCCTAGCTTTTAGCCTGCTTTGCTTCATGCCCAGTAGATCCTGTTCAATCACTGACACTTTTCACAGCTAACTACCTCAATGAAACAAGTGAAAAAGGGAAGAGGAAGGTCATTTTTAAGTTCTTTTCATGTGACCCCCTTAGGCAGTTCATACATGGATGTTTGCTTTCTTCCAGATTAGTCAGCATTTCTCTCTGACTTTCTCTTTTTCAACTAGTTGGAGAAAAACTTCTATTTTATGAGATTGGGGCATGCCTAGCTAGTCTCCCTGTTTTAAGGTCAACTATATCATATAAAATAAACTAATCATGGGAGTAAAACCATCATCTTACAGACCCAGGGATTATATAGGACATATACACCATGAAGAGGGAAATCTTGGTGGTCTTAGAATTTTGTACACTTTAGGAATATTCATAATTAAATTAATAACTTAATTTGTAAAGTACTAAATTATGAATAATCATAATTAAATTAATTTAATCCATAATTAGGTTATCAATAATTAAATTACACGGTGATGTTCAAAAATTTTATTGAATGTATTTCTTTCCCTTTCTGTCAAAAGGCTCCCAAATAAGATATAGATGAGTATCCCTAAATATCTTTTTTTTATTATTTTTGAGATGGTCTTGCTTTGTCACCCAGGCTGCAGTGCACTGGCACGATCACGGCTCACCGCAGCCTTGAACCTCCTGGGCTCAAGCGATCTTCCCACCTCAGCCTCACTAGTAACTGGAACTACAGGCATGCACCACTATACCCGGCTAATTATATTTACTTTTGTAGAGATGCGATTTGGCCATTTGGTCCAGGCTGGTCTCAAACTCTTGACTTCAAGCAATCTGGCACCTTGGCCTCCCAAAGTGCTGGAATTATGGGCATAAGCCACTGCACTCAGCATGAGTATCCCTAAATATAATTTATACATTTCCTTCCAGTTTTGCAATAAACTCACTTTTTAACATTTCACTACCTAGAAGAGCATTCTTGCCTTTATCCAAAGTTATGATTCTAATCTGCCTAAAATTAAGGAAAAAATCAGAATCAGTCAGGGCCAAGATGGCCGATCAGAAGCAGCTATTGTGTGTGGCACTCACAGTGAGGAACAAAAGGGGTGAGTAAATGCAGCACCTTCAACTGAAACATCCAGGAACTTACACTGGGACTGTTCAGGGAAACTACTCAACCCATGAAGAATGAAGAAAAGGAGGGCAAGGAGACAGCCTACCTGAAAGCAACATCAAGCCAAGGGAATTCCCACCCCCAGCCAAGGAAAGTGGTAACTGAATGTATGACCTGGGAAACCACGCTTCTCCTATGGATTTTTGCAACCTTGGATCAGGAGAGCCCCTCATTAACTAACTCCATCAGGGCCCTGGGTCTGACACACAGAGCTGTGTGGAGTCTCAGCAGAGCTGCTGCTGAGGCATGCACAGAGACCCAGGAGTTGTAAATATTCATGCCTGGGATGCCCAGCAAAGGTGACTGCAATTCAGGCAAGGCAGGAGGACTGTACGTACCACTAGGAAGCTGACTGAATCCAGGGGCCAAGCAGTGTCACTCGGTGGGCCCCACCTCCACAGCACCTCATAAGATAAGACTGACTGAATTGGAATTCTAGCCAGGCACTGGCAACAGGGTCGTGCCTACTTGAGACAGGAAGGAGCTCCTGGAGGGAGGGGAGGACTGCCACCTTTGTTGTTTGGACAACTCAGCCATTCCAGCCTGCAGGCTTTGGAAAGTCCAAACCAACTGGGGCAGAAGTGGTTTCCCAGCACTGTATAGCTGCTTTGCCAAGGTGTGACCAGATTGCTTCTTTAAACAGGACCCTGATCTGTTCTTCCTTGCTGGGTGGGACCTCTCAGTCGAGGTATCCGGCCACTCCTGCCCATGCTCTATGGCTGAAAGATTTTGGATTTCTCCCTGGGATGGAGTGGGATGAGGTGGGCTGCCACCTCTGCTGTTTGGGCATCTCAGCCTTGGAGAGCCCAAACTGATTGGGGGCTGAAGGAATCCCCCAACACAGCACAGTTGCTTTACCAAAATGCAGCCAGACTGCTTCTTTAAGTGGGTCCTTGATTCCTTTCCTCCTGACTGGGTTGGATCTCCTATCTGGGGTCTCCAGTCACTTCCTACAGGTGCTTTTGGGCCAGCAACAGTTCTGTACCCCCTGGGATGGAGCTCCCAGAGGAAGGGACAGGCTGCCATATTAGCTGTTTCACAACCTTCACTGGTGATACCTCCAGGTACTGGAAAATCCAAGGTGACTAGGGTTTATGGCAGACCCCCAGCAAACTGCAACAGATCTATGGAAAAGTGGCCAGACTGTTAATAGAAAAGCAAACAAACAAAATTAAAAAAAAAAAACACAAAATCTCCATCCAAACGTCAGCACCCTCAAGGATTGAAGGTAGATAAGCCCACAAAGATGGGAAAGAATCAGTGCAAGAATGCTGAAAACTCAAAAAGCCATAGCGTCCTCTTTTCTCCAAGTGACCACAACACCTCTTCAGCAAGAGTTCAGAAATGGACTGAGATTGAGATGGCTGAAATGACAGAAGTAAGCTGCAAAATGTGGGTAAAAAGGAGCTTCACTAAGCTAAAGGAACATGTTGTAACCCAAAGCAAGGAAGCTAAAAATCATGATAAAACAATGCAGAAGATGACAGCCAAAATATTCAGTATAGAGAAGAACATAACTAACCTGATAGAGCTGAAAAACACACTACAAGAACTTCACAATTCAATCACAAGTATTAACAACAGAGTACATCAAGCAGGGGAACGAATCTCAGAACTTGAAGACTGTCTTTCTGAAATAAGACAGGCAGACAAGAATAGAGTAAAAAGAATGAAAAGGAATGAACAAACCCTCCAGGAAATATAAAATTATGTGAAGAGACCAACTCCACAACTGATTGGTGTACTTAAAAGAGACAGGGAGAATGGAACCAATTTGGAAAACATATTTCAGGATATCATAGAGAGGAGCTTCCCCAACCTAGCTAGATGAGCCAACATCCAAATTCAGGAAATCCAGAGAACCCCAGTAAGATACTCAATGAGAAGATCATCCCCCAGACACATAATTATTAAAGACTCTAAAGTCTAAATGAAAAAAAAACATGTTAAGGGCAGCCTGAGAGAAAGGCCAGCTCACCTGCAAAGACTAACAGTAGACCTCTCAGTGGAAACTCTGAAAGCCAGAAGAGATTGGGGGCCAATATTCAACATTCTTAGAGAAATGAAATTTCAACCTAGAATTTCATATCCAGCCAAAATAAGCTTCATAAGCAAAGGAGAATAAGATCCTTTTCAGATAAGCAAGTGCTGATGGAATTCGTTACCACCAGACCTGCCTTACAAGAACTCCTGAAGGAAGCACTAAGTATGGGAAGGAAAAACTTAACAGCCGCTACAAAAACACACTGAAGTACATAGACCTGTGACACTTTGAAGCAACCACATAAGTCTGTGAAATTAGCCAGCTAGTGTCATGTTGACAGGATCAAATTCACATATAACAATATTAACCTTAAATGTAAATGGGCTAACTGCCCCAATTAAAAGCCACAGAGTGACAAACTCAATAAAAAAACAAGACCCATTGGTATGCTGTCTTTGAGACCCATCTCACATGCAAAGACACACATAGGCTCAAAATAAAGGGATGGAAAAAAATTTACCAAATCAATGGAAAAAAAAAAAAGTGCAAAGGTTGCAGTCTTAGTTTCTAACAGAACAGACTTTAAAGCAACAAAAATCAAAAAAGACAAAGAAGGGCATTACACAATGGTAAAGGGTTCAATTCAACAAGAAAAGCTAAGTGTCCTAAATATATATGCACTCAACACAGGAGCACCCAGATTCATAAAGGAAGTTCTTAAGAGACCTTCAAAGAGACTTAGACTCCCACACAGTGATAGCAGGAGATTTTGATGCCCCACTAACAATATTAGACAGATCATTGAGAAAAAAATTAAAAAAGATATTCAGGACCTGGACTCAGCTCTGGATCAAATGGACTTTACAGATATTTACAGAACTCTCCAACCCAAAACAATAGAATATATATTCTTCTCATTGTCACACAGCACTTACTCTAAAATTGATCAGATAATCAGAAGTAAAACACTTCTCAGGAAATGCAAAACAACTAAAATAATAAAAACAGTCTCTCAGACCAGGGCACAATCAAATTAGAACTCAAGATTAGGCTGGGCATGGTGGTTCATGCCTGTAATCCCAGGATTTTGGGAGGCCAAAGTGGGGGGATCACCTGAGGTCAGGAGTTCAAAACCAGCAGGACCAATATGGTGAAACCCCATCTCTGCTAAAAATACAAAAATTAGCCAGGCTGTGGTGGTACATGCCTGTAATCCCAGTTATTCAGGAGGCTGAGGCAGGAGAATCAGTGAACCCAGGAGGTGGAGGTTGCAGTGAGCTGAGATTGCACCACTGCACCCCAGCCTGGACAAAAGAGGGAGACCCTGTCTCCAAAAAAAAAACAAAAAAAACAAAAAACCCAAGATTAATAAATTCACTCAAAACCACACAACTGCATGGAAATTGAAAAATCTGCTTTTGAATGACTTTTGGGTAAATAATGAAATTAAGGCAGAAATAAAAAAGTTCCATGAAACTAATGAGAACAAAGAAACATTGTACCAGAATCTCTGAGCTGCAGCTAAAACAGTGCTAAGAGGGAAATGTATAGCACTGAATGCCCACATCAAAAAGCTAGAAAGATCTCAAATCAACATCCTAACATCACAACTGAAAGAACTAGAGAAACAAGAGCAAACAAACCTGAAAGCTAGCAGAAGATAAGAAATATCCAAGATCAGAGCTGAACTAAAGGAGATAGAGACAAAAAATAAAAACCTTCAAAAGATCAACAAATCCAGAAGCTGGTTTTCTGAAAAAAATAAAATAAAATAAATAGACTGTTCACTAGACTAATAAAGGAGAAAATAGAGAAGATTTAAATAAACACAGTCAGAAATGATAAGGGAGGCATTACCACTGACCCTACAGAAATAAAAGTAACCATCAGAGAATATTACAAACACCATTATGCACATAAACTAGAAAATCTAGAAGAAATTGATAAATTCCTGGACACATATACCCTCCCAAGACTGAACAAGGAAGTAATTGAATCCCTAAACAGATGAATAAAAAATTCTGATACTGAGGCATTAATAAATAGCCTAGCAACCAAAAAAGCCCAAGACCAGATGGATTCACACTGAATTTTATCAGATCTACAAAGAAGAGCTTATACCATTCCTACTGAACCTATTCCAAAAAATTGAAAAGGAGGGACTCCTCCTCATTCTATGAGGCCAGCATCCTCTTGATACCAAAACCTGGCAGAGATACAACAACAAAAAAAGAAAATTTCAGGCCAATATCCCTGATGAACACAGATGCAAAAATCCTCAACAAAATACTGGCAAACCGAATCCGGCAGCATTTCAAAAAGCTTATCCAGGCCAGGCATGGTGGCTCACGCCTGTAATCCCAGCACTTTGGGAGGCCAAGGCAGGCGGATCACAAGGTCAGGAGATCGAGACATTCCTGGCTAACATGGTGAAACCCCATCTCTACTAAAAATACAAAAAATCTGCTGGGCGTGGTGGCGGGTGCCTATAGTCCCAGCTACTCGGGAGGCCGAGGCAGGAGAATGGCATGAACTCGGGAGGTGGAGCTTGCAGTGAGACGAGATAGCGCCACTGCACTCCAGCCTGGGCGACAGAGTGAGATTCCATCTCAAAAAAAAAAAAAAAAAAAAGCTTATCCACCATGACCAAGTAGGCTTCATCCCCAGGATGTAAGGTTGGTTCAACGCATGGTTCAACAAATCAGTAAACATGATTGATCACATAAACGGAACTAAAGATAAAAACGACATTCAACACACCTTCATATTAATAACTCTCAATAAACTAGATATTGAAGGAACAAACATCAAAACAATAAGACCCATATATGACAAACTCACAGCCATTATCATACTGAATGGGCAAAACCTGGAAGTATTCCTCTTGAAAACTGGCAAAAGATACGGATGTCTTCTCTCGCCACTCCTATTCAACACAGTATTGGAAGTTCTGGCCGGAATATTGAAGAGAAAGAAATAGAGTATTCAAATAGGAAGAGAGGAAGTCAACCTATCTTTGTTTGTAGATAACACAATTCTATGTCTAGAAAACCCCATAGTCTCAGCCCAAAAACTTCTTAAGCTGATAAGCAACTTCAGCAAAGTCTTGGGATACAAAATCAATGTGCAATAATCACTAGCATTCCTATACACCTCAAAAATGAACTCCCATTCACAACAGCCACAAAAAGAATAAAATACCTAGGAATACAGCTAACAAGAGAAGTGAAGGATCTCTACAAGGAGAACTACAAACCACTGCTCAAAGAAATCAGAGCTGACACAAGCAAATGAAAGAATATATCATGCTCATGAATAGGAAGAATCAACATCATTAAAATGAGCATACTGCCCAAAGCAATTTATAGATTCAATGCTATTCCCATCAAACTACCACTTACATTATTGACAGAAATAGAAAAAACTATTTTAAAATTCATATGGAACCAAAAAGGAGTCCAAATAGGCAAGGCAATCCTAAGCAAAAAGAACAATGCTGGAGGCATTATGCTACCCAACTTCAAAGTATACTACAGAGCTACAGTAACCAAACATCATGATATTGGTACAAGAACAAGCACGTAGATCAATGGAATAAAACAGAGAACCGAGGAATAAGACTGTACACTTACAACCATCTGATCTTCAACAAACGTGACAAAAACAAGTAATGAGGAAAGGATTCCCTATTTAATTAGTGGTGCTGGGAGAATTGACTAGCCATATGCAGAAAATTGATACTGGACCTCTTTCTTACACTACATACAAAAATCAGTCAAGATGGATTGACGACTTAAATATAAAACCCAAAACTATAAAAATCCTAGAAGAAAACCTGGGCAATACCATTTAGGACATAGGCATGGGCAAAGATTTCATGATGAAGATGCCAAAAGCAATTGCAATGAAAGCAAAAATTGACAAATGGGATTTAATTAAAGAGATTCTGCACAGTAAAAGAAACTATCAACAGAGTAAACAGTCTACAGGAGAAAATTTTTGTAATCCATTCATTTGACAAAGGTCTAATATCCAGAATTTATAAGGAACTTAAACAAATTTACAAGGAAAAAAACAAATAATCCCATTAAAAAGTGAGCAAAGACACGTCTCAAAAGAAGACATACATGTGCCCAATAATCATATGAAAAAAAGCTCAACACCACTGATGATTAGGAAAATACAAATCAGCCAGGCGTGGTGGCTCATGCCTGTAATCCCAGCACTTTGGGAGGCCAACGTGGGTGGATCATGAGGTCAGGAGATCAAGACCAGCCTGACCAACATGACCAATATAGTGAAACCCAGTCTCTACTAAAAATTCAAAAATTAGCCAGGCATGGTGGCAGGCGCCTGTAATTCCAGCTACTCAGGAGGCTGAGACAGGGGAATTGCTTGAACCCAGGAGGTGGAGGCTGCAGTGAGCTGAAATCATGCCACTGCACTCCAGCCTGGGTGACAGAGTGAGACTCCGTCAAAAAAAAAAAAAAAAAAAGAAAAGAAAAATACAAATCAAAACCACAATGAGATACCATCTCACACAAGTAGAAACAGCTATTATTAAAAGTCAAAAAATAATACATGCTGGCAAGGTTGGGGAGAAAACCAACCCTTATAGGGTAGGAGTTGGTAGGAGTGTAAATTAGTTCAATGATTATGGAAGACAGTGTGGTGATTTCTCAGAGACCTAGAGACAGAAATAACATTTGATCCAGCAATACCACTACTGGATATATACCCAAAGGAATATAAATCATCTTATTATAAAGACACATGCATGTGTATGTTCACTGTGGCACTATTCACAATAGCAAAGAAATGGCATCAACATAAACGCCCATCTATGATAGACTGGATAAAGAAAATGTGGTCTATATACACTATAGAATACTATGCAGCCATAAAAAGGAATGAGATCATGTCCTTTGCAGGGACATGGATGCAGCTGGAGACCATTATCCTTAGCAAACTAAAGCAGGAACCGAAAACCAAATACCACGTGTTCTCACTTCTAAGTGGGAGCTAAATGATGAGAACACATTGACACATAGAAGGGAACAACATATACTGGGGCCTGCTGGAAGGCCAAGGGTGGAAAGAGGGAGAGAATCGGGAAAACTAATGGATGTTAGGCTTAATACCTGGGTGATGAAATCATCTGTGCAACAAACCCCCATAACACACATTTACATTTGTAACAAACGTGTGCATCCTGCACATGTACTCCTCTGGACTTAAAATAAAAGTTTAAAAAAAGCAGAATCATGAAGAATGACAGAATCACATGTCAAGAGAGTACAAATGTCTTTCTATATGATGGAAATTTCTTCAAAATGTATAATTAATACACTTTTAGTACATGAGTCTGATGACACCAGTTTTAATTACTTGGGGGTATTTTGGCTCTTACTAGTTATTTGCTTTCCTCTATTACATAATGTTGTAAGAGAATCTCTAGATATGTGATGTATCACTTACTGTTCGACTATATGCTTTAAATTGTGTATTCTGAAATGGTTCTGAGAATGGAGTTTGAGTTGTGATTCCTTTTGCTTATTCACCTTAAGCTATTAAATTTGAGAATGTAGAGAACATAAAAATACTGAGTGCCTGAACAGTTTTAAAGAAATCAATAAATGATGGATATTCTCATAGAAAAGCAGAATGCTAGAATAAAAGAACCCAAATCTTTTGCTCACCTGACCTGGATTTAAGCCTCAGATCCACAATTTACTAACTGAGACCTTGAGAAATGTATTTCTTGTTTTTACGTCATGATTTTCTCCCTGTGAAGTGGTGATGGGAATAGCTCACTGCTATGTTATGGTAACTACATGATTAAATAAAATAATCAGTGTAAACAACATCATAAATTTTGAAGGTAGTTTTTTGTCAAATGATTTGTTAAACATTCTACAGAATAAACATTTCTCAAAACAGTCTGTAGCAGTACACCCTTGAATCTTTGAGAAGACATTTCATTGCTTATCTCTTATATATTATCTGCTTTTCTTTTGGGAAATATTGAATTTCTCAATGTTTGTTTTTGAATTAGAATCACAGACTGATGGCTGGCATTTACAGAGAATACTACATCCCATTAATTAGAATGAGTTACTAGAGAATGACAAGCAGAGAAAATGTATTTTTTATGCTGGCTTCAAGTTCTGGAAATTTGAGGCACCAATGGATGATATCTTAGTCCCTTTCAGGAAGTAACACTTAAAATAATTATTCTCTGTTGAGGTGTTACAGGGATTAGTATTTGTGAAACATTCTTAAAATCCCAGTTTAAAGCTATTTTATGAGTATCAAAAAATGATTGCACAAGCTTAGTTTCCAATTCCAGGAAAAGATATGCATGAGCTCCTTATTATCAAATAATTTTGCTGGATGATCCAGCTTAGTGTCATTGTAACAGCCTACCAGTTAACATAAATTTCATTCTTGTAATGTTTACTGGTGGACACTTTTATACTCCAAAGTGCAGAAACAGAACCTGGACAATACAACTGGAGTTTGAAGCAGATAGCCCAAGGCAGAGATCCACAAAGTAATCTAAAAGAATTTCCACGAAAAATTATAAGCGGTAATCTCATTCTCTTAAACTTAAGTTTTAGAAGTAAAATTACTCCATATCACAAGTCCGTATTGGAACTTAAAGAAAATTTCAAATGCATGTCCACCTCCAAGAATCCACCCCTGCCATTCACACATACATTTAGTTCTGTATTTCTGTATAAGTAAATATGAACCAATTTAGATGGAAAACAGAATTCACAACGAGTATATGGATCAGAAAGAAAGATGATATCATAGATGTACTAAAAGGAACGACTTTTATTTATGAAAACCCAGGATGATTTAAAGTAAATTATAAAGATAAAAACTGTAGAAACATTAAGCTGGAAGAGAATTTCATAATAATGCATTGCAAACCGTATAAGAGTCTAAGCCATTTCTTAAAGTTGGAGGTTGGGAATAAAATTTTAAATTTATAATAGTGTGAAGACATTATGGAAATAAGAGACAGCAAACTTTATGTGGAAATATATTTAATTTTACATTGCAAAGCAGAAATAAAAAATCAGAATATACTGGACAGCATTAAATAACACTGCAAAAGTAAGTCTCACCCCATCATCCCTTGACCCCATCAAATTTTTTGCTTGATTTCGAGGTGATCATTGGTGATTTAAAAAGAATTACTTGGATGTTAAAGAATCCTTAACCATTATTCAATCATTAACTTATTGAATCATTAACTTAATTTCAAAGATGATCCCCATAGAAAGCACACATTTTCGGAAAAGGCCAAAGGTGGAATGTAGGCTGCATAACTACATCTCAGAAATGGTGAGCTGAATATAATGACTATTGAACAAAAAAATCAAAGATTCCTGTTGAGCTTCATATCATACCTTAGTGATCTTTGCTCATCCATTTAATTTCTCTCTTACTCAGATTCTTCATAAGTAAAATAGAAATTATAATTACTGTATTGTCTATTTGGCAGGATTGTAATAAATCACTGTGATAAAGCAGTGAAAAAGTAAGTGAGTAATTACTTTGAAAATTAACAAATACATTATATATATGGGATCTAGACCAGGCTACAAGGTATGTAATAATGACAGCTCCTTAAAAGAGTCCCCAGTTAAAAGATAGGGCCACTGTCCATAGGGACAAGTATTGCCTACTGACCCTGTCTGCGCTCAGGGCACATACGGTTGGAACTTTTGTGGACAATTGAAAGGTGGCAGCCAAGCTATGAGCTGGGTTGTGACCTATATGGAATGAATACATTACAATCCAGTGTATTACAGGAAGTGAAAGAAGAGGAAAGGTGAGGCATCTGCATCTACTGTCCTCCACAGCATATGAGTGATGAAAAACAAACAAAAACCATGTACAAATTTTCTGTCTTGCTCATCCTTTTATCTCCAACTCCTACCATAGAATATGATAATTCATAGCTTCTTTATAAGCACCAGTTAAATTTGAGTCTGTTAGAATGGATGTATATATGAGTTTATCAACATTTCTAATCCTTTGTGATTACTTTAGAAAACAAGTAGACAGGACTTTGAGTCTTAAGAATATTTGATTAATCATATTGATCAGTATCTCCAATCCCATTGCTATACTTCATGCATCCAAAACCTCTTAATTTTCATGCCATCTAAGTCACCATTTCAACACTTACTTTACTGATCCTTGTCTTTTCTCATTAATGACTTTTTTTAAAAAAATTAATCAATCTTGTGTATCATCAGTTGGAGAAATCTAGCAAAAAACTTCAAGTAAATATTTCTACTTTGGCTGGTATATTCCAACCAGGTTTTAAATTCCTTCAGGGAGGGCAGGGTCCTATCCATTATTTTAATTAGTTTTTTTGTTGTTGTTTTAGGTTCATGGCAAAATTGAATAGAAAGTACAGAAAGTTCCCATATGCTGCCTCCTCCATTCAGCACACACACACACACATTATCCTTCACTATCCACATTCTACACCACAGGAGCACATTTGTTACATTCACTGAACTTACATTGACATATCATTATCACTTAGAGTCCATAGTCCACGTTAAGGTTAACTTTTGATGTCCTATATTTTATGAGTTTTGACTAAAGTATAATGACATGTATCCTTCTCACTTTAGCTTTTTCCACTTAGTAAATAATATGCATTTAAGATTCTTCCTATATTTCAAAGCCCGATAGCCAATTTCTTTTTGGAGTGGAAACTATACCGCAGTTTATGTGTCCATTCACTTGCTGAAGGACATCTTGGCAACTTCCAAGTTGTGGCAATTATGAATGAAGGTGTTATAAAAACCCACGTGGAGGTTTTACTGTAAAATATTTAAAATAGTTTGGATAAATATGAAGGAGTGTGATTGCTGAATAGTAAGGTAAGGTTATGTTTAGTATTTTTTTTTTCTTTTTATGAAACTGTCTTCCAATGTGGTTGTATCATTTTGGTACATGAATGTTGTTCCATTCCCACCAATAACGAATGAGAGTTCCTGTTGTTTCGCATTCCCACAAGCATTTGGTGTTGTCAGTGTTTTGAATTTTTGCTACTCTAATAGGTGTGTAGTGGTCTCTCATTGTTGTTTTAGTTTGCCATCCCCCAGTGACATATGACGTGAACTTTGTAATGCATTTATTTGTCATCTGCATATCTTCTTTGGTGAGGTGTTTTTCAGTCTTTTGGCCATTTTTTAATTGGGCTATTCATTTTCTCATGGTTGAGCTTTAAGATATTTGCATATTTTGCAAAAGAGTATCCTATCATATATGTATTTTAAAAATATTATCTCTCAGTCTGTGAGTTATCTTCTTCTTCTCCTGACAGTGTCCTTTATAGAGCAAAAGTTTTGAATTTGAATAAAGTGCAATTTATCCATTTCTTTCTTCATGGATTGTGCCTTTGGTGTTGTATCTAAAATGTCGTTGTTAAAACCAATGTCATATAAATTTTCTCCTATGTTACTATTTAGGAGTCTTATAATTTAAAAATGTATATTTAGGTCTATGGCTCATTTAGAGTTAATTTTTGTGAAAGGCACTAAGTCTGTGTATAGTTTCTTCCTGCTTGCTTGCTTTCTGTACTCTTTTTTTTTGCATGTGGATATCCAGCAACATACGTTGAAAAGACTATTCTTTCTCCAACACATTGCTTTTTCACCTTTGTCAAAAAATAGTTGATTATATATGTGGTCTCTTGGTGGGTATTTGATTTGTCTGTTATTTTCTAATACCACAGTCTTATTTATTGTAGCTCATAGTAAGTCTTGAAGTTGGTTAGTGTTAATTGTCTGACTTTGTTCTTCTTCAATATTTTGTTATCTAAGTCTTTTGCTTCCCCATATAAACTTTAAAATTAATCTGTTGTCATAAAATAATATGCTTGGATTTTGATTGATATTGTATTGATTCAACTTAGGAAGAAATTGCATCTTGACAATACTGACTTTTTCCATTTTTATTCTTCCAATAGGAGGTACTGTGATCTGGAGTATATAATGTGAAAAATATATCTGTAAAAAATGAACATACGGAGAGTTCCTTCATATCGGTATCAGTTTACTAGGGCTGCCATAACAAAGTCATACAAATTGAATGGATTTGACAATAGAAATATATTGTCTCCAATTTTGGAGGCGAAAAGCCTAAAATCAAGACGTTGTCAGGTTTGATTCCTTCTCAGGGCCAGGAGGAAGGAATAATCTGCTCCAGACCTCCATCCCAGCATTTGGTGTTTTGCTGGCAATCTTTGGCACTTCTTTGCTTATAGAAGCAGCATCGGCCCATCTGTGTCTTTATCTTCATATGGTGTTCTACCTGTGTACACGTCTGTGTTCAAATATCTTTATATATGGATACTGGTCATGTTCCATTATAAGCCCACCCTATTCTATTATCTCATCTTATTTGGAAATAACCCCATTTACAAATAGGTATTCATTTGGAGGTACTGGGGATTAGGATTCCAACATATAAATATGGCGCAGGGGAAACATGTAATTTAACCATAACAGTACATATAGTATATCCCACAGAACTTGATAATGTGAGAAAAGAAAAGACTATGGCTTTAACCTGATTCCTTGTATACAATAGTCCATTCTCATCCCAGTAGATTGAATTCAGATCCCCTTAGTTTCTTATCTCAAAAACAATCTAAAAACCATGGGTTTTTTATTTATAAATACCATTATACTACCTTAAATTTATTTTACTAATATTTTGTGACATGGGGAATTATAATTCAGTGGTTTAAACTTTACCTCCTCTTCATGTGTTAAACTGTTGGCAAATGATTCTAAAGAAAATCACTTAATATTAGAACTGGAGAGACTTTAGAATTCAGGTCGTTCTCTCCCTTTATTTTACACATGATAAAGAAAGAGATTCATTCTGACTAAAAGACTTGGCTAAGATTACACAGAAAACTATTTCCAATCAGGACTAGAACTTAAGACATATGGCACTCAGATAAGTATAGTTTACATTAGTAGTCTTCAAATCGGTACAATTCAATTTTGTGGTGATGGAGCCAGCTTGTACTGGCTCATGGGAATGTTTGCATTCCTTACCCACTCCAGTAACATCACAGTCGTAGCTTTTAATTGGCCATGATAGAAATAATTACACCATAGAAATCAGAAAACATTGCAAATCAGGGCTCCACCCTTTCCAGAGAAGATTGTTAAACAATTCCTAGCATTCTACTCTCAGAAACTTCTAGGGGCAAGGATTTTTTAAAGTAATAAATTTGCAGTGAAATAATATCTTCTGGAAAACATGGGTATAGCTTAACAATTCTAAAATTGGTATACCTGCACACCGGCATTGAATAATTACGTAAATCACTGGTGGATAGTGGGAACCAGATTTATCACTGCTGAAGTGAAGGATTGCAGATAAACATGAGAGAGGGCTAGAATAATCCCTGTCTTATGGGATTAGAGTTGGAGACACCAGGATGAACTCCTGTTTACTTTAATGTAGCTACAGATATATATATATGTAGAAATATTTACAGATATTTATGTCTGTGTATATATTAGTATACACACATACATTTCTCTTCTCTGCCAGCTGAGAAGCATATTTTTGTGCCAGAAATTAAGGAAGTACTGAAAACAAAAACAAAAACAACTCTACAATGATGAGATTATAACAAAGGGACACCAGAGCCAACTGAAAGAGCTCCCAGTGGCCAAAGATGGAATGACTTAAGCAACAAAATAGACAAATGGTAATGAATTATAACCCAAAATAAAAATAAATATCTTTTAATAGTTAGTAATTGTATTAGTCAGTTCTCACACTGCTACAGAAAAATACCAGAGACTAGGTAATTTATAAAGAAAAGAGGTTTAGTTGGCTCACGATTCTGCCGGCTGTACAGAAAGCATGGCAGCATCTGCCTGGCTTCTGAGTAGGCCTCAGGAAACTTACAATCATGGCAGAAAGTGAAGCAGGAGCCCGCATGTCACATGGTCAGAGCAGCAAGTGGGTGGGGGAGATGCCACACACTTTTAAACAACCAGATCTCACAAGTACTCATTATTGCCACAACAGCACCAAGGGGGATGGTGTTAAGCCATGAGAAACTGCTCCTATGATCCAATCACCTCCCACCAGGCCCCATTTCCAACACTGGGGATTACACTTCGATATGAAGTTTATATGGGGACACAGATCCAAATCATATCAGAAATATAAATAAGTGATTGGATACGTAGGTATGTGGGAGAGCAGAGACAAGTCTCCTCTACAAAAGAATTTCATAAAACTTTTGTAGATACTGTGCCTTCCAGGAAATGGCATATAAATTCTCACTCCTTAAGTGTGGACTATGAATACTGGCTTCTTTCCAGAAAGTACAGTATGGTGGAGGGCAGAGGAAATAACTTCATAAAAAGGAAATTTGACAAGTGCTGATAGGAGATCAAGGTCAACATCAACAGAGATAATTCATGTTGATATTATGTACCCTTCATATGATGTGATAAGAATGTCAATTTACCTCTGTGGTTTTCCTCCTGAAAACCAAAAACTACAGTCTAATCATGAGAAAAACATCACACAAATCTAAACTGAGGAATACTGTACAAAATATCTAATCAGTACTCCTTAAAAGAGTTAAGATATCAAAAACAAACGAAATCTGAGAAACTGTCACAGCCGAAAGCAGCCTAAGGAGGCATGAAAATGAAATGCAATGTGTATACTGGATGAAATACTAGGACTTAATAAGGACATTAGGTTAAAAACTAAGGAAATCTGAATAGAGTATAGAATTTAGTTAACAATGTGTCAATATTGGTCTATTAGAACTCTTCTGATGTCAGATGTTAAATACAGAACAAACTGTTCCCGGGTTATATGAGGACTCTACTATTTTTGTAACATCTTTGTAAATCAAACTATTCTAAAATTAACAGTTTACTAAAACATTGATGGAATGTTGATAAAATTATTAAGAAAATGATGATAATTAAGAAGAGTGATATATTTCTGATTGCTAATAAATATACCTACATATTTTTACTTGATTTTGAAGGTTCAAATAACTGAATATTTGAATTGTATTATATTTATACACACACACATATATATACATAAACACATATATATATATGAAAGAAAGATGTAACTGGTTTAAAAATGTAGATATATAACTAATGCAAACTGAAATCTTAGAAATTATTTAACCTTGGGATAAAAAGTTTTAGAAACAAACTTAAACTTAGGACAATGTGACCTGGATTTGTCAAAATATTTTTGGGGTTTCTGAAACAGATATATTTTGAATAAGCTGGTATAAATACTAAACACTTCATGATTTCAGAGTCATTTAAGAGTGTGCTTATCTCATAACACCTTTCAAGAAGACAATTTTTTATTCTTAGTGCAAGACAAGCCTCACATTTCTAGAAATTTTGCAACAGCTTTTCCCCTTTAACTCTGTATAAACATGATCAAGTTATTTATACTTCTTTGTTTTATATTTTGATGTGACTGACAATCTGGTCTTTTTGTTTTTAAGCAATACTATATTCAGTTTGTCTATCTAGTGCAGTATTAGCCATCAAATAAATCACATAGATAGCATCAAATACTTGGTGAAAAAGTAAATAACATTAGTGACATATTGAGAAATGTAAACATGGAAGTTTTATTTTTAAATTCTTGGATACATATGTAGGATGTGCAGATTTGTTACATAGGTAAAAGTGTGTCATGGTGGTTTGCTACACCTATCAACCTATCACCTAGGTATTAATCCCAGCATGCATTAGCTATCTATCCTGATGCTCTCCCTCCCCCTCTACCCACAACAGACTCCAATGTGTGTTTTTCCCCTCCCCGTGTCCGTGTGTTCTCGTTGTTCAGTTTCCACTTATAAGTGATAACATGCTGCCTTTGGTTTTCTGTTCCTTTGTTAGTTTGCTGAGGATAATGGCTTCTAGCTCCATGCATGTCCCTGCAAAGAACATGATCTCATTTCTTTTTATAACTGCAAAGTATTCCATGGTGTACATGTACCATATTTTCTTTACATAGGCTATCTTTGATGGACATTTGGGTTGATTCCATGTCTTTGCTACTGGGAATATGCTGCAACAAACCTATGCGTGCATGTATCTTCATAACAGAGTGATTTATATTCCTTTGGGTATATTCCCAGTAACGGGATTGCTGGTTCAAATGGTATTTCTGGTTCTAAGTCTTTGAGGAATCACCACACTGTCTTCCACAATAGTTGAACTAATTTACCCTCCCACCAACAGTGTATAAGAGTTCCTGTTTCTCCACAGCCTTGCCAGCATCTCTTGTTTCTGGTGTGAGATAGTATCTCATTGTGGTTTTGATTTTCATTTATCTAATGATCAGTCATGTTAAGCTTTTTATTTTATATGTTTGTTGGCCGCATAAATGTCTTCTTTAGAGAAGTGTCTGTTCATATCCTTTGCTCACTTTTTAATGGAGTTGTTTTTTTCTTGTAAATTTGTTTAAGTTCCTTGTGGATTCTGGATATTAGACCTTTGTCAGATAGATAGATTGCAGAAATTTTCTCCCATTCTGTCTGTTTACTCTGATGATAATTTATTTCGCTGTGCAGAAGCTCTTTAGTTTAATTAGATCCCATTTATCAATTCTTGCTTCTGTTGCAATTGCTTTTGACATTTTTGTCATGAAATCTTTGCTCGTGCCTGTGTCCTAAATGGTATTGCTGAGATTTTCTTCTAAGGTTTTTATAGCTTTGGGTTTTACAATTAAGTCTTTAACCCATCTTGAGTTAATTTTTGTATAAAGTGTAAGGAAGGGGTCCAGTTTCAATTTTCTGCATATGGCAAGCCAGTTCTCCCAGCACCATTTATTAAATAAGGGATCCTTTCCCCATTTCTTAAATAGTTTTAAAGCCATTTTTACTAACTAAATTGTGCATAGAAAAGAGATACGTACTTCTACATTTTTGAAACTCTAAGCTTCTGCAATGTTTACAGTGCCCTTGATTGCTAGAGCTGAATGGGCACTTTGGCATACTTCCTGCATTTCATGAGTAAATTGAGGCTCAGCAAGCTAGTCACATATTCCCAGTCCCACAAGTAGTTGGGAGATGCAGAGGAATCCACTTCTGTCACTAGAGGCTGCCTTCAGCTCCTAGGAGCCACAAGTTCCTCTACATATTGCTGTTTATTTTATCAATCCAGCATAGGGAATCTTAAGAACATCCCATCATTTTTGCCATGTTGGTTAGAAGCAAGTCACCCATCCTATCCACACTCAAAGAAAGAGAATTACACAAAATCATGAACATCAGAAGGTGGGGATCATGGAAGATAAGGATGGTGGCAGCACAATAGTCTGCCCACCAAATTTTTCAAAAAATAGGTTTTTATAAGTATCTGTTTTTAAGTTAAATTTATTTTATTTAACTTGTACAACAGCACTGCCTTTCATGGATGAGAAAACTAGTTTGTAGTATATCTAAGGCCAAACATCAAATATTCAAAGTTAAAATACCTTTATGGAACTCTTGCTTTACCAATTAGACGGATAGTTTTAAGAACAAGAACTATGACATATACACCTTTGGCACTGCTATGAAGCATTTTAATGCTCAATCCGTGCTTTATTGTTTGGTGTGCTCATGTGAATAATGAGAAGCAATAATAACTCTCTATGAGGTTAACAGAATAATACAAGTTGAACCCAGGTGTTTCTGGAATCTGATCAAGGCAGCCTTGACCTTTCACTAATATTGGCCGAACTTTAGACAGGCTTCATCCTGACTCGAGACCCATGACTTCCCTTTTCTTAGAATACTTATTTTAGAAAACTTATTATTAAAAACACTTCTCTGCTGTTTGAGATGTAAATTTTTTTAATAGTATCTTGCCAGTTTTACAACTCAGAACTGCCTTTCTCATGGACCTGGAAGACATCTTTTGAAATGTTGTCATGAAAGAAGACAGGACCCCTATCTCCCAGTTTCTGAGGGAGGGTAGGAGCTCAACACCAGAAGGCACTTAGTTGTAAAACCACTTGCTCTCCTGAAGATACCAGAAAGTCTACATTTTCTCTGGGTAAAGTCAATCAGCAAACTTAGACAGCCTATCTCCCCATCACCCCATCTTTGGAAAGCCCTACTACCTTTGTTTCAGTGGAGTTCAGACTCAATTCTAGTCTCTTTCCCCTACTGAAATAGTCTTGAGGCCGGACGTGGTGGCGCATGCCTGTAATCCCAGCACTTTGGGAAGCTGAGGAGATTGGATCATGAGGTCAGGAGTTTAAGACCAGTGTGGCCAACATGGCGAAACCCTGTCTCTACTGAAAATACAAAAATTAGTTGGGCATGGTGGCACGTGCCTTCAGTCCCAGCTACCCGGGAGGCTGAGGCAGAAGAATCACTTGAACCCGGGAGGCCGAGGGTGCAGTGAGCCGAGATTGCGCCACGGCACTCCAGCCTGGGCAACAAAGCAAGACTCTGTCTCCAAAAAAAAAAAAAAAAAAAAAAAGAAATAGTATTGAATAAAGTCATTGAATAAAGTCTTCCTTACCTGTGTTTCCAGTGTAATTTTTGGTTGACAAGTCAAATCTCAGTTTCTAGCCTTCAATTAATATACACTTCAGGAGATAAGTCCAAAATGAAGTCCTTAGATTCAAATAAGATTTCTGCTAATGTAGAAGAATTCTGTAAATGTTAATCAGCATGGATGACTTTTAAAGGCTGGTTTTGTTTCGTTTTGATGGAATTTAAATCTAAATGCACCTCTCCCACTAATCTTATGAGTAATTTTCCACACACTTTAATCAAAGCAATCAAGTTACTGTTTTCTAGGCTCTACCATCACTGTGGCTTTTCTTTGCTTCAGCTCAAGTAATTTTGCACGTAAGCTTTGCCCTCAGTAAAAAAGTCATTATTTTTCTCCTATACAGGAATCAAGATGAAGGAATGCCCAGAAATAAAACTCCTCTTTGTGGCTGTAAACCAAAAAGTGTCTGAGACAGGTGTCAATCAATTTAGAGATTTATTTTTTCAAGGTTGAAGACATACCTGGGAAAATAAGACACAAGTCACCATAGGATCTGTGGCCCCTGCTTTTTCCAAAGAGGGTTTTGAAGACTACAATATTTAAATGGGAAAGAGTGGCTTGGGGGGAAAAAGGAAAGATACTGTATTAGTCCATTCTGATGCCACTATGAAGAAATATTTGAGGCTGGATAATTTATAAAGAAAAGAGGTTTAGTTGACTCACAGTTCCACATGGCTGTGGAGGCCTCCAGAAACTTACAATCATGGCGAAAGGCATTTTTTCACAGGGTGCCAGGAGAGAGAATGAGTGCCAAGCGAAGGGAGAAGCCCCTAATAAAACCATCAGATCTCACGAGAACTCACTCACTGTCATGAGAATAGCATGGGGGGAAACTGCCCCCATGATTAAATTACCTCCTACTAGGTTCCTCCCACAACATATGGAGATTATGGGATTACAATTCAAGATGAGATTTGGGTGGAAACACAAAGCTAAACCATATTAGATACAAAAGGGAGGGTAGGTAGTGAGATAAGTGGTCACATTTTTGTGAGACTTTGATTAGTGCTCACTGAATCCATGTGAAAAGAGAGAGTAGAGGAACAGTCAGTTACACATTCATCTCATGGCTTACTCAGTGAATCTGTATTTTATGTAAGCTAAAAGGAAACAGAGTAGAGAAAAGTCAAATATGCATTTGTCTTGAGGTAGGAAGAGGGATGATTTCTAGTCTTGTCTTTGTCCTACAACTGTAAGGATAAGCTGTTAATTTACATTATCAGGGTGAAATTCAACAGAACTCTGTTTTAGGGTAAAGATTTTGAGGCCCAAAAGGGATTTCCTTGTGAGCAATTCAGGAGGGAGGTCACCTGCGGAGATACATGGGCTTCTATCTTTGCAGCTATCTATTTAGGAACAAAATGGATAATGTTAATGTTTCCCTTTGGCAGAGTGAGATTAGGATCCTGAGATTTTATTTTCCTTTCACATAGTATTTCACTGCCATTGTGTACCCCACTCTACCCTGATACTGCAAAAGGAGTAAAAATGACACAAAAAAGTAATTTCCAGTTGAGGTAAAGTCCTATGTTAGAACACAGAGTGTTCACTGGATATTAGTTTTGCAACCCTGGGCAAAGTTTAACTTTGTACCAGCACAAAGCACGCAAAATAGGATTTAATCAATTGTTACAGAAAACTATAATTTAAAACATTTGCATTTTTACTTAAATTATTCATGAGCAATATAAAAAAACAAACTTTTCTTTTCTTCTGGATTCGTGCTTGTACTTAAATACATCCGGAAAGACAGTTTTCAATCAGACTTCATGGTATTACAATACCTAAAGGAATATTATTATTATTATTTGTTATTGGTACGTCCCTAAACGGTGGGTCCTAACATAATGAGCAAGTTTGTCCCCAGGACCTTAGGGCTTTCTTATTAAGGGTGAAGGTCTGAGGATACTTTTAATTAAGGTGACTATAAGAGCACATGGTACAGAAATTTGACAGGTTTCTGATTGCCAGACCTCATGCTCACACTCAATTGATTTGTGCAGAAATTCTAGATCAGAGTAAACATGTGAGTAAGTATGTTTATGGTGCCATACACACAGAGTGAATTGCTGTTTTCATGACATACTCTTACAAACTTTTATATTTACCTTCAGTCTTTCCTCTTGTTTACCTGCAGGAGATTTTGTAACTTTGTACTCTCAATATATACCAATCATTTAACTTGAATTGGTGGACAAATTTAGGCAAAACTGTTTTTCTACAGTAATTTGTGAATAAACTTCTATTGTCTTTCAATGTCTCTTTGGGTTGCTCCAGATTTCTCTTTATTTTTCATATTTTCAAAAGGGGGAGCATCTCACATTCTTTGTGATTATACTTTCTCCTCTATATGTCTCTTCAGAAACTCATTTGAGTCAGAGCGAGTGTATCCCTTGCGAGGTATAGGAGATTTGTGAAGAACAAAAATAAAACACTTAACTCTTTCTAGAAGCCAAAGAGATTACAAGTGAATGAAACAGTCTTAGTTTAAGACAAATGGCATCTGTTTTGCATACAACTTTTTAAAATTCTTCACTTGAAAGCGTGTTCACCAATCTTCCCTAAAATATGCAGCCTCTAAGTCTAAATTTTATTTTTCTAGTTGTGATAGGGAGTTTGTTGCAGAGAAATATTTTCCTACCATAAAAATATAGTTGTTCAAGGAAAACAATAAATGATAACTGATTTTTGGCATCACTGCTGGCGAGTTAATTATTAAGAAGTGTTGGAGAATGTTTTGAAATGAATTGCACATTGCACTCTCTCAGTAGAGGGAAGTTGTTATTCATATTAAGCATCTTTTACTTTGTGGGAATATGGGCCTAGTGATGCCAAACTGTGTGCTATTTCAGGAAAGACTAAAAATATTGATTTTTCTTAAAAAATGTGGATATCCTAGATTTATCAAATGTTCTCTCCACTTACTTTGAAACACATTGAGAGCCAAGCAAAATATGTCTGCACATCATATCTGGCCCTTGGGATAACAAATTTAAGACTTCATTACTGACAATGCATAATACAAAATAAATCATTATACCATCAGTTACCACAGGCAGTTCCACTGTGTTCAGTAAACCAGTGTATATTATTGAGCACAGTTGTCAAGCTTACAACTCACCAATGTATACAACTCACCAACCCACAACTCAGATCCCTTCCAATGATACAATAATATGCAATGACTACTCAGAAGAATACTGCTTATAGAAAAGTTGTGATTGAAATAGTGAGTTCTTGACTACTTGTTGTGTTTCCACTTGTTAACTTACAGTGTTATATTACAGGGTGTATTTTTTTTGCATGCACACAGAAATTAATGTGCAAAATCATAATGTTTCCCAATTCATATAAAGTCTAATGGGAACATAGTAAACTGAATCAGATAAAATCATAATTTTTTGGTCTATTATTTTGTGCAAAACCCAAAACAAAAACAAAACTGTACTAAGAACACAATTGTTTTGATACAAAAGTGAAGGCCAGATGCCTACATATTTGAAGCAGTTTATTGACTTGTTATCTACATCAAGGGAGGGCACACTTGTAATTGTACATCTTGATTGTACACCCATGTAACAAGCACCCAGTTTACCAGCATGTCAGAAACTTTCATTTTCCCTCCACACAAGATCACCACTATCCTGACTTTTCATACTATATATACTGTTTTCAAATGTTATGTAAATAAAATTATACCACATTTACTTGTGTATGACTCCTTTCACTCAATATTGTGCCTGTGTTTCATTCATATTGTCAGTTGTAGCTATAATTTGTTTGTTCTTATTGCTCATAATACTCTGTTCGGTGAACATACAACTTTATCCATTTTAATGTCTGTAGGCATTTGTTCATTTTGTTCCATGCTTCCATGCAATTACAAGTAGTACTACTATGAATATTCTTTTACTTGTATTTTGGTGAACATAAGTATACAGTCCTATTGAATATAAACCCAGGAATGAGATTGAATTTATAGAGTATGCACTAGCCACTTCTGGCAGATCCGCCATAATTTTCAATTGTAGTTGTACCAATTTTTATTTCTTACCAGAAATTTATGAGAATTCTAGTTGCTCTACATATTCATCAATACCTAGTATTTTCTCTTATGTGAGCCATTCTTCTAGGCCCGTAGTTATATTGAATTATAGTTATAATTGGCATTTTCTTCTGATCTCTAATAAAAGTGTCTTTTTATGTTTACTGATCATTTGGTATCCTTTTCTATAGTATCTGCTCAAGTCTTTTACCATTAAAAAAAAAAACTGGTTACTTGTATTTTTGCTTTGTATATAATTATGCCTAAACCTCTATAATTCATTTCAAATTTTATTATTTGAAAAATCTATAACATGAGTTTATTGGATCTGTAATAGTGGTCTACTCTAACTCTTCCATAAAAATGACTAGTAACCACTTGTAGCTTTCTTTTAAAAATGAAATTCCTCAGAATGTATTTATCCATAGCTGAAACTCTCTTAAAATTATTGACAAGAGAAAACTAAAACTAGAATATAATAAAATGTATACATAGTTTTCATTTTTATTTATAAACTTATTTGAGTGACATTTACAAGGCCTTTTCATTAGGCATCAGGGGCAGAGCAGTCCATAACTTTTTGTTCATGCTATATGAAGAATATTTAAGCTCATTCAATTAACATAGGAACTAGTATTTTTATTTATTTATTTTTTTTGAGACGGAGTCTCACTCTGTGGCCCAGGCAGGAGTGCAGTGGCACATCTCGGCTCACTGCAACCTCTGCCTCCTGGGTTCAAGCCGATTCTCCTGCCTCAGCCTCCCGAGTAGCTGGGATTATAGGTGCGTGCCACCACACCCAGCTGATTTTTGTATTTTTAGTAAAGACGAGGTTTCACCATGTTGGCCAGGCTTGTCTTGAACTCCTGACCTCAGGTGATCCACCCACCTTGGCCTCCCAAAGTGCTGGGATTACAGGTGTAAGCCACCACGTCCAACTGGAACTAGTGTTTTTATATAGACATCAGAGAAAAATCATCACACACCCTAAAAACTCGCCCCAATAGCATTATAAAAAACAGAATCCTGAGTTGAAGGAACCAGTATCTTTTACAGTGTGATTCCTTTATTTTGCTGTGTTCAGTATCCCCAAGTCCTATGTAATTCTTTTCCTGGGAGAAACAGACTAGAGATAATGTTAAGCAGGTATTGGCTTGAGGACTGTGTTGATTTCCTATGAACTGCTTGTGATAGTTTGTGATGATGAATTATGTTCTGTTCTGAAAAGAAAGTCTTTTATCCCTCTGCTTGGTTGATGAGTATCCAATGTTTCAGAGTTACTGCACAGATTATTGGATGCCTTTCAACCAAATAAAACCTGTCCCTGCCTCAACACTCAAACTGCTTATGAGAAAAGACAACACATACAGAGTGAAGAAAATAAGCAAGGGGTGAATTTAAGCTGTTCTTTTCTTTGACACAATAAGAGCAAGATTAGTCACAGGTTTCTGGAGTCATTAAACATAATTAGTCTTGCCATAATAACTAGCTACATTGCAGCATGTATTTAAAGGAGAAAAGAGTAGAAAAATGATAAAATAAAATAAAAAAGGCATCATTCTCATTCTAATGCATATTCAGTTAGTAAAAACATCATACTTGTCTAGGACTTAGCCATGAATTTCTTCTTTCTATCAGTGTTTTGTTGTTGTTTGTGGGTTTATTTTATCAATGTAAAATAGGAAGTCTCTGCTTTAGGACTGGATTATTTGTCCCAGTGCTACTCACAGGTCACCTGCTCTGAAAAACATGTATACCACATGCTTTTATAGGTCATCTTTTTATGAATTCAGGTTGGATTTCTAACAGTAGGTTTGTGACAGCAAGATGATGCCGGTTTCTATGCAACTAAATTGGTATATTTGCATGTGAATATTTTCATTCTCTTTTCTCTGCTCTCCTCTCCTCCCCTCCTTTTCCCTCTTTTCTTCTCTCCCCCTTTTCTTTTCTTCCTTTCCTGATTCCTATCTCTTCTCAGATCCCCCCTCTCTGTGTTTTATCCACAACTCTTCTTCAGACCACAGAGCTGGGGCATTAAAAGCACATTGTCATCAGTGTAAGGGTGTTACTTCGGAATCATAGAAGGGAATGAGTCAATATGCAGCTATTTAATTTTAATTATTTCACATTTTCTTTATGTATGGAAGACAAGTCAAAAAAACAGAAGTGGCGGTCTTCAGGGGTGACTTTAAGGTGCACTGCAGTAACAACCCCCATCCCAGTCGCCTTATTGATATAGACAAACCAGATGACTATGCAAACAGAGTCCACAGTAAAAGCTATCATAAATGAATATACATTGTAGCTATGTTATACCAAGCTAGCCACACCTACTTATTTCTATATAGATATTGTGTATAGATATTGTTGCCACCAAATATGGTCTAAACAAAAAGAGTCTTTAGTTTGTTTGGGTTTTTTTGGGGGGGGTTATAAGAGCTTGATTATCGCTCTATAAAAGTATAGCTTTGAAAAAATTAGGAGATAAACAGTAGGCCTTTTTCCCTATATGTCTAGAAAAAAGAAGGGCAGGAGATAAAAGTGAAGAGAATATCATTTACTGGTGTAGATCTTCAAAAACAATCCTGAGGAGGCTTCACTTTCAAAGTAAAAGAGTCATAACAAGGGAGATATGAAAGCAGAGTGGATAAGTGCCTCAATCCTCAGTTGGACCACATGTTTTTGACATGGATCTATAGTTTCCTTCAAGATTCGCTGTGGCAGGAATACTTGAATATCGGTGGGCAGGTGAGTAGTGGCAGAACGGACCTGAAACAGCCCACATATGTCACTACCTGTAGCTAGAGAACAAGTGCTTCTTATGTTGGTGGGTTGCTGTTTTTGTTCAAAGTTGAAAACTTCCTGCTCTTTTTCAATTATTTTCTGCTCCATTTTATTTCTCTTCTCTATATGAGTCCCTGGTTACAATCATGTCAGACAGCTTAATGTTTTCCCTCATGATGTTGATTCTTTTCATTTTCTACAATCTCTTTTCTCTCTGTTTGACTTAAGAAAATTTCCATTGATCTACTCCTCACATTTTCTGTTTCTTCCCCTTGTATGTACAAACTACTTTTAAGTTTATCCTTTGATATTTTTATTGATATTATGCTTTCCAGTTTTTTAGATTTCCTATTTATCTTTTGAAATACTTATTTCTTACCCTTCATATTGAGTTTTCTGATATATTCCACTACATATTTTTTTGGCAGATTGATGGTCTTTATTCAGTGTATAAACCTCAAGTCACAACTATTGTGTATGAAGAGAAATTAAACTCTTCAACCTAATTGGGAAATAAATGTGCTTAGAAGCATAGTTCAAAACCTGAAAATACATGGCATAGCAAAGATGTGTAACACCAAGAGAAGCGAGTTGTGTTCACTATTGTATTTACATTTTACTATTGTCTACATTGTATTAAATTTTACTTGAATCTACTTTTTATTTGTTTTCATTTATTACTTCTATTTATTTTTATTTCAATAATTTTAGGGTAATAGGTAGTGCCTGGTTGCAAGGTAAAGTGCTTTAGTGGTTATTTCTGAGATTTTGGTGCACTCTTCACCCAAGCAGTGTACACTGCACCCAATGTGTAGTCTTTTAATCATCACCCCCCCAACACACTTCCCCACAAATCCCCAAAGTCCATTATATCATTCTTATTCCTTTGTATCCTCATATCTTATCTCCCACTTATAAGTGAGTAAATAGGATGTCTGGTTTTCCATTCCTGAGTTACTTCACTTAGAATAATGGTCTCCAGCTCTATCCAGGTTGCTGTGAATGCCATTATTTTGTTCATTTTTATAGCTGAGCAATATTCCATGATCTATCTATCATCTATCTATCTATCTATCTATCTAATTATCTAATTATCTATCTATCTATCTATCTATCTATCTATTTACCTATCTATCTAACTAGTCCACATTTTCTTTATCTGCTCATTGGTTGATGGACATTTGGTCTGGTTCCATATTTTTGCAATTGCAAATTGTGCTGCTATAAACATGTGTGTGCATGTATCTTTTTCATTTAATGCCTTCTTTTCCTTTGGGTAGATACCCAGTAATGGGATTCTGGATCAAATGGTAGATTTACTTTTAGTTATTTAAGAAATCTCCACACTGTTTTTCATAGTGGTTGTACTAGTTTACATTCCCACCAGCAGTGTAAAAGTATTCACTTTTCACCACATCTACACCAACAACTATTATTTTTTGATGTTTTGATTATGGTCATTCTTGCAGGAGTAAGGTAGTATTGCATTGTTGTTTTGATTTGCTTTTACCTTGTAATTAGTGATGTGGAACATTTTTTCATGTTCGTTGGCTATTTGTATGTATATCTTCTTTTGAGAAGTGTCTATTCATGTCTGTAGCTCACTTTTTGGTGGGATTGTCTGTTTTTTTCTTGCTGATTTGTTTGAGTTCCCTGTAGATACTGGATATCAGTCATTTGTCAGATGCATAGTTTGTGAAGATTTTCTCCCACTCTGTGGGTTGTCTGTTTACTCTGCTGATTATTTCTTTTGCTGTGCAGAAGCCTTTTATTTTAATTAGATCTCCTCTCTATATCTTTATTTTTGTTGCATTTGCTTTTGGGTTCTTGGTCATGAACTCTTTGCCTAAGCCAATGTCTAGAAGACTTTTTTCAATGCTATCTTCTATAATTTTTATGGTTTCAGGTCTTAGATTTAAGTCTTTGATCCATCTTGAGTTGATTTTTGTATAAGATGAGAGTTGAGCACCTAGCTTCCTTTTTCTACACGTGGCTTGCCTATTATTCCAGCACCATTTGTTGAATAGGGTGTCCTTTTCCCACTTTATGGTTTTGTTTGCTTTGTTGAAGATCAGATGGCTGTAAGTATTTGGCTTTATTTCTGGGTTCTCTATTCAGTTTCATTGGTCTAAATGCCTATTTATATGCCAGTACTATGCTATTTTGGTAAATACAGCCTCATGGTATAGTTTGAAGGTGAATAATGTGATGGCTCCAGATTTGTTCTTTTTGCATAGTTTTGCTTTGCTTTTGTGAGGCCTTTTTTAGTTCCATATGAATTTTAGGATTGTTTTTTCTAGCTCTGTGAAGAATGATGATGATATTTTAATGGCAGTTGCATTGAAATTGTAGATTGCTTTCGGCAGTTTGGCCATTTTCACATATAGATTCTACCCACCCATGAACATGGGATGTGTTTCCATTTGCTTGTGTTGTCTCTGATTTCCTTCAGTGGTGTTATGTAGTTTTCCTAGGAGAAATCTTTCTCCTCCTTGGTTGGTATAATCCTAAGTATTTTATTTTTTTGCAACTATTGCAAGAGGGGTTGAGTTCTTGATTTGATTCTCAGCTTGGTGATTGTTGGCATATAGCAGTGCTATTGATTTGTGTACATTGATTTTGTACGCTGAAAGTTTACTGAATTCATTTATCAGATCTAGAATGGATCAAAATTTAAATGAGTCTTCAGGGTTTTCTAGATATACAATCATACCATCAGTGAGCAGGGACAGTTTGATTTCCTCTTTACTGATTTGGATGCCCTTTATTTCTTTTTCTTTTCCGATTGCTCTAGCTAGGACTTTCGGTACTATGTTGAATAGAGGCAGTAAAAGTGGGCATCCTTGTCTTGTTCCAGTTCTCAGAGGGAATGCTTTCAAATTTTCTCTGTTCAATATAATATTGGCTGTGGTTTGTGATGGGTGACTTTTATTACATTGATGTATGTCACTTCTATACCAATTTTGCTGAGGGTTTTAATCATAAAACGATGCTGGATTTTGTCATATGCTTTTTCTGCATCTATTGAGATGGTCATGTTTTTTTTAATTCTATTTATGTTGTATATCACACTTATTGACATCTGTATGTTTAACCAGCCCTGCAGACCTTTTATGAAACCCACTTGGTCACGCTGGATTACCTTTTGATACGCTTTTGCATTTGATTAGCTAGTATTTTGGTGAGGATTTTTGCACCTCTGTTCTTGAGGGATATTGGTCTGTAGTTTTCTTTTTTGTTATGTCCTTTTCTGCTTTTGCTATTAGGGTAATACTGGCTTCATAAAATGACTTGGTGAGGATTCCCTCTTTCTCTGTTTTTTGAAACAGTTTCAGTAAGATTGGTACCAATTCTTCTTTGAATGCCTGAGAGAATTCAGCTGTAAAGCCATCTGCTCCTGGGCTTTTCATTGTTGGTGGTAATTTTGTTATTACTGTTTCAATCTTGCTACTTGTTATTGGTATGTTCAGAGTTTCTATTTCTTCCTGATTTAATCCAGGAGGGTTGTATATTTCCAGGAATTTACTGATCTCCTGCAGGTTTTCTATTTTGTGAATGCAAAAGTGTTCATAATAGCCTTACATAATTTTTTTTGTATTTCTGTGTAAGTAGTCCATTTCCATGCTGATGATAAAGACATACCTGAGACTAGGCAATTTAAAAAGAAAGAGGTTTATTGGACTTACAGTTCCACATGGCTGGAGAGGCCTCACAATCATGGTGGAAGGTGAAAGGCAAAAAGTAGCAAGTTGTATTTTACACGGATGGCAGCAGGCAAAGAGAGCTTGTGCAGGGACACTCCCATTTTTAAAACCATCAGATCTCATGAGACTCATTCACTATCATGGGAACAGCATGGAAAAGACCCATCCCCATAATTCAATCAGCTCCCACTGGGTTCCTTCCACAATATATGGGAATTGTTGGAGTTATAATTCAAGATGAGATTTGGGTGGGGACGCAGCCAAATCATATCATTCCACCCCTGGCCCCTCCCAAACATGTTCTCATATTTCGAAACCAGTCTTGCCTTCCCAACAGTCCCCCAAAGTCTTAACTCATTTCAGCATTAACTCAAAAGTCCACAGTCCAAAATCTCATTCAAGACAAGGCAAGTCCCTTCCACCTATGAGCCTGTAAAATCAAAAGCAAATTGCTTACTTCCTACATACAACGGGGTTACAGGCATTGGGTAAATACAGCTGTTCCAAATGAGAGAAATTGGCCAAAACAAAGGGACTACAGGCCTCATGCAAGTCCAAAATCCAGGAGGGCAGTCAAATCTTAAAGTTCCAAAATGATCTCCTTTGACTCTAGGTCTCACATTTAGATTACACTGATGCAAGGGATGGGTTCTCATGGTCTTGGGCATCTCCACCCCTGTGGATTTGCAGGGTACAGCCTCCCTCCTGGTTGCTTTCACAGGCTGGTGTTGAGTGTCTGCAGTTTTTCCAGGCACTCAGGGCAAGCGTCAGTGGATCTATCATTCTGGGGTCTGGGGAACAGTGGCCCTCTTCTCACAGCTCCACTAGGCTGTGCCCCAGTAGGGACTCAGCGTGGAGGCTCTGAACCCCATATTTCCCTTCCGCACTGCCTTAGCACATGTTCCCCACGAGGGCCCAACCGCTGCAACAAATTTCTGCCTAGGCATCCAGGTGTTTGCATATATCCTCTGAAATCTAGGAGGAGGTTCCCAAACCCCAATTCTTGACTTCTGTACACTCACAGGCTCAACACCACATGGAAGCTGCCAAGGCTTAGGGCTTGCACCATTTGAAGCCATAGCCTGAGCTCTACATTGGCCCCTTTCATCCACAGCTGGAGCATCTGAGACACAGGGCACTAAGTCCTTAGACTGCACACAGCATGGGTACCCTGGGCCCGGTCCATGAAACCATATTTTCCTCCTGGGCCTCTGGGCCTGCGATAGGAAGGGCTGCTGTGAAAACCTCTGACATGCCCTGGAGACATGTTCCCCATTGTCTTGAGGATTAACATTTGGCTCCTCGTTACTTATGCAAATTTCTGCAGCCAGCTTGAATTTCTCCTCAGAAAATAGAATTTTCTATCACATTGTCAGGGTGCAAATTCTTTGAACTTTTATGCCCTGCTTCACTTTTAAAGCTGAATGCCTTTAACAGCACCCAAGTCACCTCTAGAATGCTTTGCTGCTTAGAAATTTCTCCTGCCAGATACCCTGAATCATCTCTCTTAAGCTCAAAGTTCCACAGATCTTTAGGGCAGGGGCAAAATGCCACCAGTCTCTTTGCTAAAACGTAAGAAGACTCACATTTGCTCCAGTTCCCAACAAGTTCCTCATCTCTATTTGAGTCCACCTCACCCTGGATTTCATTGTCCATATCATTATCAGCTTTTTGGTCAAAGCCATTTAACAGTCTCTTGAAAGTTCCAAATTTTCCACATTTTTCTGTCTTCTTCTGAGCCCCCCAAACTGTTCCAGCCTCTGCCCGTTACCCAGTTCCAAAATCGCTTCCACATTTTGGGGTATATTTTCAGCAGTGGACAACTCTACTGATACCAATCTATTGTATTAGTCTGTTTTCATGCTGCTGATGAAGACATATCCAACACTGGGCAATTTACGAAAGAAATAGGTTTATTGGACTTGCAGTTCCACATGGCTGGGGAAGCCCCACAATCATGGCAGAAGGTGAAAGGCAAAAAATAGCAAGTCATGTTTTACGTGGATGATGGCAGGTAAAGAGAGCTTGTGTAGGGAAACTCCCATTTTTAAAACCATCAGATCTTGTGAGACTCATTCACTATCATGAGAACAGCATGGGAAAGACCTTCCCCCATAATTCAATCACCTCTCACTGGGTTCCTTCCAAGACATGTGGGAATTTTAAGAGTTACAATTCAACATGAGATGTGGGTGGGGACACAGCAAAACCATATCACTGTGGTATAAGTTTTAATATATCCCATTTTGTTTCTAATTGAACTTATTTGGATCTTCTCTATTCTTTTCTTGGTTAATACTGCTAATGGTCTATCAATTTGTTTATCTTTTCAAAGAACTAGTTTTTACTTTTTGTTTCATTTACCTTTTGTATTTTTTTGGTTTCAATTTTATTTAGTTCTGCTCTCCTCTTCAATTTTATTTCTTCTGCTGAGTTTGGGTTTGATTTGTTCCTGTTTCTGTAGTTTCTTTAGGTGTGTCCTTAGATTGTCTATTTGTGCTCTTTCAAACTTTTTCATGTAGGCATTCAAAGCTATAAACTTTCCTTTTAGTATCACTTTTACTGTATTGTAGAGGTTTTGATAAGTTGTGTCACTATTATCATTTGGTTCAAATAATTTTTAATTCCCATTTTGATTTCATTGTTGACCCAAAGATCATTAAGGTGCAGATTATCTAATTTCCATTTATTCGTATAATTTTGAGAGTTCCTTTTGGAGTTTTTAGTTACTTTCCATGTGGTCTGAGGGGGTACTTGATATAATTTCAAATTTCTTAAATTTACAGAAACTTGTTTTGTGGCCTAGCATATGGCATATCTTATAAAATGTTCCATGGTCTGATGAATGGAGTGTATATTCTGCTGTTGTTGGGTAGAATGTTCTGTAAATATCTGTTGTCTCCTTGTTCTATGTCATAGTTTAAATCCATTGTTTCTTCGTTGAGTCTGTTTTGATGACTTGTCTAGTGCCTTCAGTGTAATATTGAAGTCCTTCACTATTATTGTGTTTTTGTGTATCTTATTTCTTAGGCTCAATATTGTTTTTTATGAGTTTGTGAGCTCCAGTGTTAGGTGCACATACATTTAGGATTCTGATATTTTCCTGTTGGAAAAGTCCTTTTATCATTATGTAATGGCCCTCTTTGTCTTTTTTAACTGTTGTTGCCTTAAATTTTGTTTTGTCTGATATATGAATAGCTACTCCTGCTTGCTTTTGGTGTCCATTTGCATGGAATATCTTTTTCCACCCACTTATGTCAAGTTTATGAGAATCCTTATTTATTAAATGAGTCTCTTGAAGACAGGAGATACTTGATTGGTGGATTTTTAATCATTCTGCCATTCTGTATCTTTTAAGTGGAGTATTTACACCATTTGTATTAAATCATTGGTATTGAGATGTGAAGTACCATTTTAATCATCATGCTAGTTGTTGCCTAAATACCTTGTTATTTTCTTTCATTATGTTACTGTTTTATAGGTCCTGTGAGATTTATGCTTTAAGGAGGTTCTATTTTAGTGTATTTTGAAGTTTTGTTTCAAGAGTTAGAACTCCTTTTAGCATTTCTTGTAGTGCTGGCTTTGTAGTGTCAAATTATCTCATCATTTGTCTGAAAAAAACTTTATCTCTCCTTCTTAATGGAGCTTAGTTTTGCTGAGTGCAAAATTCTTGACTGGAAGTTATTTTGTTTGAGGTGGCTAAAGATAGAACCCCAATCCCTTTGGGCATATAGAGTTTCTGCTGAGAAATCTGCTGTTAGTCTGATAGGTTTTCCTTTATAGGTTACCTAAAACTTTCGCCTCACACCTCTTAAGATTATTTTCTTTGTCTTGACTTTAGATAACCTGATAACTAGCTGTCTGTGTAATAATCTTTTGGTGATGAATTTCCCATGTGCTCTTTGAGCTTCTTGTATTTGAATGTCTAGATCTCTAGAGAGGCCAGGGAATTTTTCACAAGTATTCCCTCAAATATTTTTTCCAAACTTTTAGATTTCTCTTTCTGCTAAGTAACACCAATTATTCTTAGGTTTGGCTATTTGACATAATCCCATATTTCTTGGAGGATTTGTTCATTTTTTAAAATTATTTTTTCTCAAAATGTCATAATTTAATGAAAGTATTAAATTAATAATTGTATAAAAGACAATTATTAAGTTATTGTTAATTAAAATAATCAATATCATTGAAATGGTTTTCATGCAAATTAGAATGGAAAATAATTTCCTAATTCAGATTAAGATGCCTTCTGTATTAATATGGGATTCAGCTCTTTATCTAGGCAACAGAAATCTACTGCTCTGCAAAAGGAACAATTTTTAAAAGCATTAATTTGAGTGCTATTGCAGGTCAATTTTGAGAAGCAAAGGTTTAAAGTATGATCAATATTTTCCTTTTAAATAAGAATATGTGAAAACCCTAAATTAAAAATGACCCATTAGAAATACCCAAACATAAAGTTTTTATTATTAAGTGGTGGTACTGAACTTCTACACATTGTATGGAAAGCACTGAACTATTAGTCCATATTAAAAAATAGTATTAATCTACTGTAAAATATACAGCTACTTATGCAAAAAATTATTTAGCATATACTGTTGAAATTATGTTGTTAGGAATATATAGATTTAGGATTTTGAAATGTTCCTATTAGATTGGTTTCATTATTTTTCTGAAATATTCTTTTTAATCTCTAATATTTCTTCTTGCTTTAAAGTTCTCTTAGCCTGATATTAATATTTCACCAACAGCTCTCATTAATTTAGTGTTTATAGGCTACATCTTACTGCACCATGTCTCATTAAGCCCTTCTGACTTCTTATACTCTCAAGATATGCCTCTTATAACCATCATATATTTTTAATTCATTTTGGCAATTTTAAACATTTACTTAATCTCTTATTTATAAATTGAAATTTAGACCATTTATATGTAACGTAGTTACACATATCTTGGAGTTTATTAATACCTTCTAATTAGTTTATGTCCCTTTATTCTCCTTTTTTTCCCTTTTTGTAACATTATTTTTCTTTTATTATCAGAATTTTTTCCTTTATCAATTTGTTTATTATATTTATTTTGCTATTTATATAGTTGTTACCTTAAAACTATAACATGCATCCATCACTTACGATAATTTATAAATAATTACTTTTTTGACATCAGCTTATAAACTACCAAGTAGCTTACAAACATTTTATTCCATATATGCCTTCTTACTTTTTCATTATTGCATATTTCATATTGTATTTCAATTTAAAGCAAATGTTAAACTATACAAGACACTACTCAGATTATTTTGTATTCTATATTTACTTGAATTCATTCAACTGTATACCTTTTCGGTGCTCTTTATTCCTCCATTCATTTATTTTGTTTCTTAATAGAATCTTTTTTTTCTGCTTCTATGTTCAGATGATGTACAGAAATTTGAGAGATCCAGAGAGAATTATCCCCAAACAGCTTTAACAGGACATATATTTATAGTTATGCATTACACCGTTTCTCAGTAGTTAAAACTGTCTTTTTTATTTGATTTTCTGCATCTCATCATCCACATTGATAGTTGTCAGTTTAATTGCTGTTTCTTTGAAGCAAATGTACAATTTTTGTCACTTTTAATATTTTCTCATCTTTTTTTATTTCTAGCAATTTCTTTATGATGTGCTTAGTTGTGGGTTTCTTTAATCTTGTATATGCTTTTTGTGTCTTCTTTGCTGTTGTTTAAACCATATATTTTATTGTTAACTTTAAGTAATTAGTGTTCATTTCTTGAGTCTGATTCTGTTTTATAAATCTCAATGTCAGGTACATTTTTTTTTCATCCTCTCAATTATTTTGTCAAATTTTCCTCTATTTTATTGAACAAAACTGATCATAATCTTAAAATCAAAGCCTGATAATTTTCACATGTAGACAATCTGTAGCTCTGTTTCCATTGTAATTTTATTCTCCTTATGATTGGTCTTACGGTGTTACCTATTCACATTTGTATTATTATTTTTGTGTTATATGCCATAAATCTTGGATAACTCAACTGCAGAATTTTCAGATGAAATTATATCCCTCTCAAGAGGACAATATTTTTCTGTATTCACCTTAATGCTGGAGGAACTGTAGTAGAAAAAGATTAGGTTGCAGTTTTGGTAAGCCTCAGTCTATCTCTAGTTTTCTTTTTTCTCTTCCTGGGATATGGCTTACAAGACTTTCAGCTTAATTCCAGGTGGGTATTTCTCTATATTTCTGAAAAGCATCATATGACTGAATTCTGTCTTATAGGTGTTTTAAGCTTAGCTTTCACCCGTGGCTTCATTCGGTTGAAGAATCTGACAAATGTGTTGAGAAGGAGAATTACTTTCATTTTGATTCCTCTCAACTTGCCAATTTTGTCAATTCAGCCTAGTGTGACCACCAACACTTGTTTCTTTGCTACCATAAAAGTTTCCCTGTATTTGGGCTAAGTCCAGATTTTCAACATCAGTGTGCATCAAATACTTTCAAATCTCCTCAGAGAAATTTGGCCTTGGATAGAAAGAATCATTGTTAAATAAGCTTATAAAATTCTAAAAAAATTGTTCCCCCTTTTCAGCTGTTCTGAATAAGATAAAAAAAATTTCCTACATATATTTAGGTAGAATTCCAGCCCAACTGGCAATAGTAGCCTTTGTCTACCTGTATTTATTCTACCTTTCAAGTCTTCCTTGCTTCAAAAGATCTTTGATAGCTTTAACAACAATTAGCTTATCTTGTAATTTCTTAACTTTTCCAGTTGAATTGCTGCAAAATTTCATTTTATCCACAAGCAGAATTCACTGTACTCACTTATTTATTTATTTATTTGGGATGGAGTCTGGCTCTGTTACCCAGGCTGGAGTGCAGTGGCATGATCTCAGCTCACTGCAACTGCTGCCTCCCGGATTCAAGCAATTCTTCTGCCTCAGCCTCCCAAGTAGCTGGGATTACAGGCATGTGCCACCACGCTCGGCTAATTTTTTTTGTATTTTTAATAGAGACAGGGTTTCAACATGTTGGTCAGGCTGTTCTTGAACTCCTGACCCTAGGTGATCCACCCGCCTTGGCCTCCCAAAGTGCTGGGATTACAGGCATGAGCCACTGCACCTGACCCACTCACTAATTTTAAATAATAAAGAAAATATTTTGAAACAATACTGAACAGGACATTAAGATTTAAAAATTATTTTAAGGTAGTCTACACATATTTTTAAAATAATTAAGAGACTAGTGTTTTTTCAGGTGTCTCTGCTTTGGAACAATTGGATCCAATGTTTTTTGAATGAAACTTGGACTTAGGCTAAGTCTTACTTAATTATATAATCAGGTTGACAGCTACTGGCTTTATTTTTTTCTTAATGAATATTATTGTTTTCTAGTTCATTATTCACCAAAGTGTTTCCATCAAACCCTAGATCTTTAAGATGTCCTTGAATAGAAAAAGAGTCATTGTTAAATAAGCTTATAAAATTCTAAAGAATTTGTTTCCCCTTTTCAGCTGCTCAGAATAAGATAACAAATAAAGGCTTTTTAGAAGCATTACAATAAGTGAGTCCAATTAATTTGACTTCAACATTTCTAAATGAATTAATTCATGAGAACTATACTAGTTTGTTAGGGATGCACAACAAAGTGCTGAGTGGTTTAAGCAGAAATGTACTTTCTCAAAGTTCTAGAGGTTATATGGCAGTGTTCTTTCTTCTACGGCCTATTTGCCTTGGAGATGGCAGTCTTTACCCTCTGTCTCCTTATGGTCTTTCCTCAGTCCCTGTCTGTGTTTTAATCTTTTCTTCCTATAGGGTCATTAGTCACATTTGATTAGGACCACCGTAATGGTTCTCATTTAAACTTAATTACCTGTTTAAAAACTCTATCTCCAAATAAAGTCACATCATGAGATAGTGGGAGTTAGGACTTCAACATAAACATTTTGGAGAAATATATCCCCCAAAAGCTCAGCCCACACCAGGAGGTATTTGATTATAACGTCTGTTAACAAATTCCAAAACATATTTAGGGAAATGCGTCTGAGCTTTTTGAGTCTTTTGACTATACTTCTTTCATAATTCTTCCAAAGGAAAGTATTAGGAATTTTATACAGCCTAAAGGCAGCATTTAAACAATTAGTTTTTTTTTTTTTATTAAAATCTACATTCAGGTATCTGATAGGTGTGTGGAGAGATCTCAATGTGGCTTTAATTTGCATTTCTCTGATGACTAACAATGTTGAGCAACATTAATTTGCTAATTGGCTTATTTGCCATCTGTGTATTTTCTTTCATAGTATCTGTTCAAAGCATTTGCTAATAAATATTATAATTGGGGTGATTTTTTTCTTATTGAATTTTTAGAGTTTTTAAAATATATCCTGGATATTAGGCCTTTATCAGATATGTAATGGATAAATATTTTCATTTAGTCAATGGGTTTTCTTATTCTCTTAACAGTGCCTTTCAAAGAGCAGAACATTTGAAAGTCCTGATGAGTTTAACTTACAAATGTGTTCTTTATGCTTCATGCTTTTAGTGTTGTTTCTAGAAGATCTCTGCATAACCCAAGATCACAAATAATTTATCCTATATTTTCCTTTAAATGTTTTATTGGGTTTATATTATGAACTAATTGTACATTAATTTATTTCAATTTTGTATTTGGTATGAAGCAATGATTTATTCCATTTTTTGGATATAAGTACTCAATTGCCTCATCATCATTTCTTGAGAGATTATTCTTTCTTCACTGAACTGCCACTGCACTTTGGTTGAACATCCTATGTTTGGATATCTTTCTGAATTTTATATTGTTAAAGTCTCTATGTTCTTCTTTTTATTTAGAAAGCAAATATGCTAAACACAGGCACACATAAACAAAGTGCCAACCTTCTCAATTAGGCTTCTCAATATTAAGGAGTTCTGTGGCCCCCTCTTAACACAGTCCCTTTAAAGAGATGGTTGTATAGTCAGATTATAGTTCTGTAAAAATTTCCAGATATCTTTTATATGGAATAATATATGATAAAATCGATAGTTAAGGGCAATTCATATGTAAAGAAACCTTTCCACAGAATAAATGGGAATTAGTAAAAAGTGTGTGGAAAGACCTTCTGCTCCCATTTGTGATAAGTGAATGCAACTGTCACTGACTAGCAACAACTAGAAGGGCTGAATAAAAAATCAGAGCAGAACAACAAATTGCATCTCAAAGAGATTGGATAAGTAACGGGGAAACAGGAAATGAGGAGATGACATTTCAGAGGAGGGAACATTTTGTTTAGCAGTGAGACACAGCTTTTTTCCCTTTGGCACATTTGCTAATGAGGGGTGCATGACAGGAAGCTAAATATCTGGGCAAAGGGCCCAAGCAGGGGACTGTATTTAGAGGTAGACAAACCTATTGAAGCTTTTGTAGGTCTTAAAGAGATGAAGAGACAAAAATTAGAGATTCTAGTGAACTAAAACTCCAACAGAACAGAGGGATAGAGAAGTGAGATCAAGTCATTGAATTTTCCCTTAATGATATTTACAAATATTCTGAAACTATTTGGGACAGATACAGACTTCTATACTAAAAACTACAAATGATAAGGAGAAATTAAAATAGACAATTAAATGAAGGGATTAGCAAGACTTCATATTATAGACATGAAAATTCTCCCCAAATTTTTCTATAGATACATTTGAATTCCAACATAAATCCCATTAAATTTTTTTGGTAAATAATAAAATAGATAAATTGTCTTTATCTCTAATTATAAAGTTCAAATGCTAAGTTCAAGAAACTTATAGAAAAACAATTCTGGAGGACTTATAACACCAGATAAATATCAAGATATATCATAAACCTAGATGAATTAAGACATTATGCTATTTGTGTGAAAATAGACAAATTGGCCACTGGATTAGAATCCAGAAACAGATCCACACATGTATTGACATTTGAATTATAAAGATGGCATTGAATAAGAGTAAGAAACAATAAATTTGTTTTTGTTTTGATTTTCAATAAATGGTTTTGGGTCAATTGGATATCCATGATGGGGGAGAATGTTTCTGAACTTCTGTCTTACATTATATAGAAAACCTAATGCTTAAAATATTTTAAACTTAAACAGTAATGAAAAAATAAAAATACTTTAGAGGAATGACAGAAAATTTTGGTTATAATCTTAGTTTAGGCAAATATTTTTTAAGCCATAAATAGTATTAACAATAAAGGAAGGATAATAAACTAGACTACATTTAAACTTCTACATTCAAACTTCTATTTAATCCAAAGGCATCATCAAACAAATAAAAAAACCCACAAAGTTGGAGAGGATATATTATTTACATTTCGAAATTTCAATTCATTTCTCTAATAAGTATGTGTTTTAGTTGGCTTGGGATGCCATAATAAAATACCATATACTGGGTGGCTTACATAACAGAAAATAATTGCTCACAGTTCTGGACCCTGGAAGGCTTAGATGATGGTGCCAGAATGGTCAGGTTCTGTTGAGGGCCCTCTTCTTGGCTGGCAATAGGCTGCCTTCCAGTTTTATCTTTACATGACGGAGAGAAGATGCACTGACTCTCCTCATCATATAAGAGCACTAATTCCATCATAGGGGATCTGCCCTCACGACTTCACCTAGACCTGATTGCCTTGTAATGGCTCCATTTCCTAATACCATCAGATTGGGGGTTAGGACTTCAGTTTATGAATTTGAGGGGACACAAATATTTAGGCCATTATAATATGTAATAATAATTTTTTATAAGATAAAACAATTTAATTATGTCATTAAATAAGATTTTATAATTATAAAAGTACATAAAACAAAATGCATAAATTCCACAAACAATATTAATTAAAATAAGCCAAATTCAATGCAGTATATACTATATAATACCACTTACATAAAGTTTAAAAACCTCTAACAACTATTTATGCTGTTAGAAAAGGCAGAGTAGAAATCATTTTAGAAGAGGAGACTATGGGGAGGCATGGGGCCTTCTAGGTGTACTATTCTGTTTCTTGATTTGGATGCTGATTACAGAAATGTGTTCATTTTGTGAAATTCATAGATCTGTGAATATAATTTATGTATAATATGTACATATATACACACGTGTGTGTGTGTGTGTGTGTGTGTGTGTGTGTGTCTCTATAACTGACCCAAAACCACATATATATACTGCCTATTCTGGCAGATATTTCCATTTTTATTAGAGAATGTTAATTCTAGTTCCATATTAATAAATTGGAAAACTGAAATGGTGTCACTCCCAGCTATCTTTTGGCAACTCTTAACTACAACTTTTATGCTGCTTAATACTAACCAAACACATAGTCAGTGATCAATATAAAGATTACCTGTGTGATCTGAAATTCATTATTCTCTGTAAATAGCTTATCTTGTATACTTGCATTATACCAGATCATGATATATGTGTTCAGAAAGAATTATTTAGCTCTCTTGTTGACTGGATTTTATGAAATTGAGCTGTGTTGTTATACAGAAGATATACATCAAATAGTTTATTGGCAGATAGCTTTTTGATATTGGTTTATGCATTTATGGTAAGAATTTTATTGCCATGTTTACTCATTACATAGCACCCTACAGAAAACAAAGAAACATCTTTCTTTAAGTCTTTAATAGTCTGAGCAAGTTTTATTTTTTTAATTTATTTTCATTTTTGTTTTCACACTGTGGATCTTGTAAATCAATGCATTTTTCTCTTTTCTAGAGTGGCTAGAAAATAGAAAGTCAAATTTTGACCTACTGTTGACAAGTTACATGATCTGACATGTACCTTGAGAGCTAAATTTTATCACTGGCTTCATCTAACATACCCATCTATATTTTCTTTGTCTAGCCTCATCTAACATACCCATCTATATTTTCTTTGTATCTCCCTTATCTCATCTCCAAAAAAAGTTTTCATACCTTGTTTTCTTTTTCTTTTTTACAATGCACAGAGTAATTTTTGAAATAAAGGACAGTTAAAAAATAAACATACAAACTTACCGTACTCACCATTTAAAAAAATAATCAGTTAAAAATATATAATTCAAGTCATTTCAAGTTTTAAATAATCCATTTACTGTCATTTTTGGTTTATATTGAGTTCATATTGAGCACAGAAAGGCTTGGAAATCACAGAAATGTTTTAAACATACCATTGATGTAACCCTTTGTAAACAGTTTTCCATATTTTTGCATTGTAATCTCTTTCTATAGATTGCATCACAGTATAAGGCAGTGAATACCAAGTGAAATACCCCAGAATTAGATTGTTGTTCATAGGTTCTAACCAAATGTGTTCTAATGTACAATTGTTTAGTTACTCTAATGCAGCACCACTCAATAAAAATATGATGTGATCCACAGATGTCATAAAAAAGGTAAAATTAGTTTTAATAATATATTTTAACATCATAGCTCTATCATATTATTATTTCAACATACAATTAAAGTGAAAAATATTGAAGGAGTTTAAATTCTTTTTATATTTCTGTTTTTCTATTTCTTCTTTCAATTCTCTCAGTTCTTTTACACATTTTTAAGATCTTAAATTTTCCTGGTGAACTGATCTTGTTACTTATATATACCGTACCCCATTAGTCTTAGTGATACTTTTAATTCTAAGGTCTACTTTGTCATATGGTTAATATAGCCAGTCCAGCTTTCTTTTGATTATTGTTAGCATGGAATGTCTTTTTATAATCTTCGATTTTTAACTTACTTAGGTTTTTAAAGTTACAATAAGTGTCCTGTTGAAAGTATATATTTATCTTTTTTTGAAAATGTCTTTATTTTTAATCAGGGTGTTCAACCATTACACTAATAAAATTTCTTATATAGTTGTATTTAATCTACTTTGCTAGCTAAAGTTCTTAGTTATTTCTCTTTTTTATATTTCTTCTTCTCTATATCTATTTGCCTTCCAAGAGTTCACTTACATATATGTTAGGCCATTTGATATAGTGACAAAGCTTGTAGATGCTATCTTCTTTGTTTTTCACATTTTTCTTTTGTTGTTTCAGTTTGATAACTTTTATTGATATATATTTAAGATGAATGATGCTCTCCTTAGTGTTTTCCATTCTACTGGAAACTTCATTATGGGAATATTTCATGTCATACTGTGTGTGTATGTGTATGTGTACAGGAATTCATCTCATAGTGTGTGTGTGTATAGGAATTCATCTCATCTCATAGTGTGTGTGTTTTCCTGGAATTTCAGTGTGACATTATTATATTACCCATCTCTATTGAAGTGTCTTATCTGTTCATAAATGATTTTGACATTTTTCTTTAAATAGATAAACATATTGGGCATAGTTATTGGAATGTCTCTGTCTGTTATTTCCAACATGTGTGACATGTTTAACTATGTTGTTCCTGGTTGCTTATCTGGTAGCATTGTTGGATTTTATTATTGCTTTTTTAGTCTCTTTTATATATTTTAATTAACTGTCCAAAATCCTTTGTAGGATATCAGTAGTAACATAGATAAATACTATTTATGCCTGAATATTTGCATAGGTCTTTTTCAGTGAGGTCATTAGTGTCAGACATGAATTGTTCTAATCAGGAGTTGAGAAGGGTTTGGGTATTATTGTCGTTATCATCATCTTTAGAAGAAAGTTGCTGTTACTCATGCTAGGAGAGGGCATGATGTGTTGAATAATTGTTCTGTGTATTTCTGCCCCACCCTCAGGGCTTTTAACAGTCATCATAGACCTCCGCAATGAACACAAACTCAAAACTCTTGCTCTTACCCTAGGAGTACTTGTTGCTCAATACTAGGATTATGAGGGGTGCAGAGGACTCTCTTTTCTTCTGGACAAGCCAAGTTTTAGGCAGGCCCAATATGTCTTTTCCTTAGACATAGGGTTTCTTTCTAGAGAGTATTTATCACTCTCCTTATAGCAAAAATCTGTCTTCTATTTGTGGAAAATCCTGTGTGAGAGAGTCTTTATTGCCCCTCTCCAAGTGGTAGCAAAACTCTGCTTCGAAATCATGCAAAATCCTGGGTCCAAGAGATTGTCTTGACCATTCCTTATGGGTTAAAGTACTTTTGCTTATTTATTTCCCCAGAAACAATGGACCTTTTTCTGAGTTCTAAGGGTAATAAAGTTTTATACCTCATCTCCCAGAAGTGGGGGAGGGGGGGAGGTTGCTGCATCACCTTCCCCCAAAATAATAGATCATTGTGTTGGACTTGAGGATGAGAGGTTTGCTGACACCTTAGCATTAAAAAACAAATTGATTCATATGAAAGAAGAGTTTAGGGAACCAGATTGTTTCCATACCTGATCCTTAGGAAGAGTTGATTACCTTCTGCACACTTGAGTCACAAAAAGCGTTCTCTCTGTTCTCTAGCTCTGCCCCGTTCTTCTTTGTGATTACCCATTGAACCCTATGGAAAAGGATTTATAGATGTTTACAAACTTTACTCACAGATGTAGTCTACAGATTTTCTATACTAGCATAATGGCTCCCTAGTAAACTTTAAGAATGTTTTAAAATTTATTTTTTTCTTGCCCATTTGTGCTCTGCTTAGGTTTTACTGAACTTCTTGGATCTCTGAAATGATCATTTTCTTTAATTTTCAAAAATTCTCAACCACTATTACTTCAAATGTTTCTTTACCCCATTCTTTCTCTTCTTCTGAGACATTAATTACTCATAGGTAGAAACATTGATATTGTTCCTCAGAATATGTAATTATTCATATGTAGAGACACTGTGTCAAAAACTCGTTTTCTATTTTCACTCTTAGGTCTTTTTTCTTTAAGTGACACTTGGTTCTTGTACATATTTATGGGCTATCATGGGATGTTTTGATACATGAACCCACTGGTAATGATCAATTCAGAGAAATTAACATATCTATCACCTGAAACATTTATTATTTCTTTATGGTAGGAACATCCATAATCTTATTTCCTGGCTATTTTGAAATATACCACAACTTATTGTTGACTACAGTCACCTTACTGTGTGAAAGGGAATCAGAACTTATTCTTCTTCTCTGTTGTAACTTTAAACCTATTGACCAACCTTTCCTTCTCTCTCCTGCTCCATGTCATCCCCAGTCTCTGGCAAACAGTTTTATTCATGAATTGTATAAAAACAACTTTTTAAGATTCCACATATGAGTGAAATTATGCAGTATTTGTCTTTCTGTGTCTGGCTTATTTCACTGAACATCATGTTCTTCAGGTTTATCTATATTGTCACAAATGACAGGATTTCCCTTTTTAAATGACTGAATAGTATGTCTTTGTACAGATAAACCATTTTGAAATCTATTCATCTGTTGTTGGAGACAGTTGATTCAATGTCTTGGCCATTGTGAATAGCGCTGCAGTAAAAACATGGAGGTGCAGATGCCTCTTCAGTATACTGATTTTACTCACTTTGGATACATAGCTAGAAAACTAGATTGCTGGATTATGTGGTAGTTCTATTTTTTAATTTTTCAAGAAATCTCTGTACTGTTTTCCTTAACAGCTATACTAACTACACTCCAACCAACTGTGTGTAAGGGTTTCTATTTCTCCACATCCTCATCAACATTTGTTATCTTTTCTCTTTCTGATAATAGCCAGTCTATCTGGAGTGGTGATATCTCACTGTGCTTTTGATTTGCATTTTTCTTATAATTAGTGATGTTTACTATTTTTTTTCATATACCTATTGGCCATTTGTATGTCTTCTTTTGAGAGACATCTAGTAAGGCCTTTTACCTTGATGAAAACATAGAGAAAATACTGCAAGACATTGGACTGGAGAAGGACTTTTTAGATAAGATTTCAAAAGCACAGGCAAAAAAAAAAGCAAAAATAGACAAATGGGATTGTATTAAATAAAAAGCTTTTGCACAACAAAGAAAATAATCAACAGAGTGAAGAGACGAATGGGAGAAAATACTTCATACATCTGGCGAGGGGTTAATATCCAGAATAAATAAGACACTCATGTCTTTTGTATTTTACTTTGGATTATTTCTAAAAATCTATATTTAACCTCACTGATCTTTCCTCTGTTGCTAAGCAAATCAAATGAGTTCTTCGTTTCTAATAGCATTTTTTTCATTTGTAACATTTCCACTTTCCTTACTCTGATAATTATCATCTGTCTGCTGAAATTTCCCATTTCTTCACATATTTTTTCCAGTTGATTCTTTAAAACATTTATTACAGTTGCTATAAGATCTCTGCCTAATAATCCCAACATTGAGCCATTTCTTGATTTGCTGCACTGAATTATTTTTTCAAACAAAGGCAACATTTTCTTGCTTCTTGTCATGTCTCAGAAATTTTAATGTATGACAAATATTGTGTAGGAAATAACTGTGGAGATTGAAGTGTATGACATTTACTCTCAGACAAAGGCACACAAATATGTAAGGCTCTGTAAGGGTAATGGGCTATAATAGAACTCAGTCTGGTTTTTGATGCAGCTTTTGTTAGCTTCACTATACCATTGGTTTCAAATAATTTGAGTATGAGATTAGGAGCTTTTCTTCAGGAGAACTCAAGATCTGAACACCGCAAGTTCTCACAGGTCTCTGTGGTTAATAACCAAGTTATTATCTTAATTATATCATCTCTCTCTCTCTCTCTGTCCCTCTCTCGCTCTCTTTCTCTCTTTCTTTCTCTGCTTCCCAGCCTCACTTCCAACTTTTCGGGTCACTTTGGAGTTCTCTTTACTCTCCAGTCCTTCCAGAGACATTCTGCATGTCAGAATATCTTTTCTCATCTATTTTTTCCCTGCTTCTTACCATTGGAGGGCTTGTAGAGTACACTCAATGACTGTCTAGAGAACCTTGGGGTGATTTTTCACAGTTCTCTTACTCAAGCTTTAGCCTTCACAGCCTCTATGTTACCATTGGCAAAAATCTTATGGGTTTAAGAGGAGTTTATCTCTGAACTCCTGGCTTCCTTCAAGGCTTCATCAGGCTCTGTACAACTTAGTGCTGTGGCCCAGTGTTTGGCATATTAACCTAGGCAATGAAGAAAAATAGTTGGCAGTCAAATGTAGTAGGATAGAAACATTGTGTCAGCCCACAAAAATCTATTAAAAGTTTGTTAAAAGGTCTATTTTTCCTGACCTTGTCTATGGTACATTTCTCTTCATTCTACCACCCATCCATTTGCTTTGGGGGTTTTCTTGGTGTGTTTGTTTTTCTAGGAAGTGTTTATCACTTTCCGGGAATTTGGTTTATTTAAATTTCTTTACGTCTAATAGGAAAAACAACACACATATGCACACACAACCCACAGACAATAATGAAACTCTGATTTTAAAGGTTATCTGTCTATTAGGATGAAAGTGACAGTCTCATAAATTTCTGTATCCTAACCCAAAACCAAGATAACTATTTCTTGAATAAATTGTTTGAATTAAAATTGGGTCATACAATATTACTTGAGTTTCTGTGTGCAAAAAGTGATAATTTAGTTCATGAGATTAACGCAATGGTTGATTATTTACTGATTTATTTTTACATTAGTAATTGGACTCCTGTTGTTATTATGAGGTTATCAAATTTATTTCCCTCTGAGTTCCTTAAATGGTTCTTTCCATTAAAATTGCATTTCATATTAATTTTAGTTAGATAAATTAGCTTCCCTTTATTCTGCTTATTTTCCAACTCACATCTGTTTTATCTCAAAGACTTTTGAAATGTGCTTTTATTTTTTAATCTAACATTTTAGTGGATTAAATTAGTGTATTAATGTATTACTATCTCTTCCAGCCAGCTTTACTTACAGAAATAGAAAAAAAAGTGATTAAAGGATATTCTTTTAAAACACATTATTAAGCATTTTCTGATGATTTTGTATTTTAGTTTTTATTTTTATAGGATGTTATACATAAGCCACGTGTATGTGTGTATATGTATGTATGTGTAAATATTTATATATTTGTTATATGTATTATTTTGAAAGTTGATTTCTAATGGTAAAACATTTCAAAGAAAAAATGTCAAACTAAAAAGAACAGATAAATTTGTAGAAACAAATGTCTAAGAGAATTTCAGATCATACTTGCTCTACACATATCCAAATTCTGGTACTCATCACTACAGGTCTTTGGGCAAATCACTTTGCTGTCTGTTTCTCAGTATCCACAAATATAAAATAATGTATTCAGGCAATATGAATAGTAAGACCCTTTCCACCTCTGATATTTGATTAGTTATCTGACAATCTCCTTACTGATCAAAAGTGTACAGTTTATCCTCCTTTCCATGCAAAAGAAAATGTCACTTAGAAAAGAATCCCTATAAAATTTAACCATGAGATCGTTGTTGATGAAAAAGCCAAATTGTAAAATATTTGAAGAGTTTTATTCTGAGCCAAATGTGAGAGTCATGACCCATGACACAGCCTCAGGAAATCCTGAGGACATGCGCCCCAGTGGTTGGGTTAGGGAGACAGAAATTACAGGCAAAGACATAAATCAATACATGTAAAGTATGCATTGGTTTGGCCTGGAAGGGTGGTGCATCTCAAAGGGCATCATGGGAATTGGTGGGGGTGGGGGAGTGGACTTCAGGTCCTACGTGGATTTCAAGATTTCCCGATTGGCAGTTGGGTGGAAAGAGTTTAGTCTAAAGAGTTGAAGTAAGGAGAAAAAATTGCTTGGGGTGAAGATAAGGAGAATTGTGGAAGCCAAGTTTCTTGTTATGTAGATATGTAGATGAGGTCTTCAGGTAGCCAACTTCAGAGAATAGATGGTAAACGTTTCTTATCAAATCTTTTTTTTTTTTTTTTGATGAAGTCTCACCCTGTCACCCACACTGGAGTGCAATGGTGTGATCTCGGCTCACTGCAACCTCTGACTCCCGGGTTCAAGCGATTCTCCTGCCTCAGCCTCCTGAGTAGCTGCAATTACAGGTGCGCACCAACACACTCAGCTAATTTTTGTAATTTTAGTAGAGACAGCTTTCGCCATGTTGACCAGGCTGGTCTCGAACTCCTGACCTCAGATGATCCACCGGCCTTGGCTCCCAAAGTCCTGGGATTACAGGGGTTAGCCACCGCACCTGGCTTCTTAACAGATCTTAAAAGGTGTCAGGCTATTAGTTAAATCTCTCCGGTATCAGGAAACAACCTAGAAAGGGAAGGGAGGTTCTCTATAAGATGTAAATTTTCCCCACAAGAGATGGCTTTGTAGGCCCATTCCAAAATATGTCAAAGAAATATATTTTGGGGTAAAATACTTTGGTTTCTTTTAGGGCCTGTCATCTATCATGTGATGTTATTCCAGAGTCAGGTTGGAGTTGGTTTCTTATTGCTACAAAGAGTCTGTTATGTCAGTCTTAGGATGTATATTTTAATGTTAATGCTGCTCAGTTGTGTCTAAACTCTAAAAGGAAGAGGGTGCGATGTGGTATGTCTGGCCCCCTCTTCCCATCATGACCTGTACTAGTTTTTCAAGTTTCTTTGGAATCCCCTTGGCTGACAGGAGGGTCCATTCAGTTGGTCGGTTGGTTGGTTCCTTATAAATTTTATTAGAATTTTACTTTCGGTTTACATAGTGAAAATTGAAATACTCATTAACCCGATTTAAATTAAGTTTTGAAACCACATGTTTTACATTTGTTAACCTTTGAATACTATATTATTGTATTTGTATTATTAATAGTAAAAACACAACCACAATTACAAGTGACAAAAATATAAAGTAATACTGGGATATTGAAATGTGTGGCTAAAATATTTCAGGGAAAAATTAAAATGTACCGAACTACAAAATACATAGTGTGGTTGTTATAGTAGGTAGCTAGTCAGGCACGGTCAGGGCAGGAGAGGGCTCCCGGCACCCACCAGGAATGTCAAGCAACCATCAGCAGATGGTTCAGCAGTTGTCACCCTGCCTTTCTAAAAATGATAATTGGTCACAGCCAGTATGAGGGGAAGGCAATTTCCTAATAGATAAAAACACTTGAAATTGGTAACTGGTGGCTCCCAATAAAATCTCAGGAATTGAAAGAGTGGGCTTGACCATGCATATTAAAAGACAAAATGGCAGAGTATGACCATCCAGGGGCATTCCACCAGAAAGGGAAGTGAGCATGTGTACAACATGATTCCTGAACACACTGTGCATGCTCCCCTCCCAAGTGCAAGAAGGGCACAATGCATGTGGGCAGCTCACCCTAAGGGAAGAATCATAGGAAAAGAATCATAGGAAAAGGAATGCAAGACCTTGGAAATATGCCAACATATAAATCCACAAGTCAAAAGGTCAAACTCCGCACTTGACCTCCAAAGTGGCCACTTGTGTACTTGTGTACTTTCCTTTCTTTCCTCCTCTAAAGCTTTTTAACAAACTTTGACTCCTGCTCTGAAACTTGCCTTAGTCCCTTTTTCTGCCTTATGGCCCTCAGTTGAATTCTTTCTTCTGATGAGGCAAGAATTGAGGCTGTCGCAGACCGATATGGATTCACTGCCAGTAACACAGATATTTGCTGACCCTAACATGACGACAAAAATACTGAAGAGGGAATTAAAAGGAATGAGGAAATATGTTCCTGTTCCTTATAAATTCATTTCATTTTTAGGGAAGTACATTCTATGATGCACAAAATGGGAGTTTTAACAAAAAAAATCGAAAGTATGTAATTGTTTTAAACTCCCATGATCCATTGTATAATGAAAACTAAAAAACATTGATTAAAAAAACTGAAGAAGACACAAATAAATATCTCTGGCTTACGGATCTGAAAAATCAATATTGTTAAAATGTCTATTATACCCAAATGACCTAGAGATTCAATGCAATCCTTATCAGATTTCTAATGAGATTTTTCTCAGAAATATTTTTTAAAATCCTAAAATTTATATGAAACTACTAAAGACTCCAAATAGCTAAAGCAGTCTTGAGCAACACAGAACAAAGCTAAAAGTCATCATACTACCTGATTTCAAATTATGTTACACAGCTAGAGTAACTGAAACAGCATAGTACTGGCATTTTTTAAAAGAAAAAAAGATATTTACTCCAAGGAACAGAATACAGAGAGATCCCAGAAGTTAATCCATGCATTTATAGTCAATTGATTTTCAACAAGGGTCCCAATAACACAACAGGGAAAAGACAGTCTCTTCAATAAAGGTGTTAGGAAAAGTAGATATCCACATGCAAAAGAATGAAATTGGATCCTTATCTTACACCATATACAAAAGTCAATTCAAAATGAATTAAAGACTTAAATAGAAGACTTGAAACTGTAAAAGTACTAGAAAACATAAAAGGAAAACTTACTGATGCTGGTTTGGGCAATATGTTTTTTTGATATGACTCTGAGAGCACAGGTAACAAAAGCAAAAAAGACAAATGAGATTGCATCAAACTAAAAAGGTTTTGCGGAACAAAAGACACAACCAAAGAGTGAAAAGACAACCTACAATGGGAGGACATATTTGCAAACCATATATCTGATTAAGGATTAATATCCAGTGTAAGAAACACATATAACTCGATATCAAGGAAACAAGACAAATGCAAAATAAGCAGAGGAACTGAATACACATGTCTCAAAAGAAGACATGCAAATGGCCAACAGATGTATGAAAAAATGCTCAACATCACTAATCATCAGGGAAATGCAAATTAAAACCACAATGAGATATTGCCTCATACATGTTAGAATGGCTATTACCAAGAATACAGAAGATAACAAATTTTGGAGAGGATATGGAGAAAAGGGAACTCTGGTCCACTGTTGGTGGGAATGAAAATTAGTACAGCCATTATGAAAAACAGTATAGCGGTTCTTCAAAAATTAAAAATATAACTATCATATGATTCAGCATGATTCAGCAATCTCCCTACTGGGTATACAGGCCAAAGAAATGAAATCAGTATATCAAAGAGATATCTCTGAGCTCCCATGTTCATTGCAATATTATTTATAATAGACAAGATATGGGATCAACTGATGTATCCTTCAACAGATTGGTGGATAAAGAAAATATTATATATATACACAAGGGAATGCTATTCAGTCTTAAAAAGGAAGGAGATCCTATCATGGATGAATCTGGAGGACACTATGCTAAGTGAAATAAGCCAGGCACAGAAAGACAAATACCACAGGATCTCACTCATACATGAAATCTTTAAAAAGTTTATCTCATATAAAGAGTAGAATGGTGGTTACCAGAAGCTGGGGCAGCTGGTGTGTGTGTAGGGGGAAAAGCTGGGGAGATACTGGTTAAAGGATATAAAATTACAGTTAGATAGAAGAAATGATTTTAACAGACCTGTTGTTCAATATGGTGACTACGGAGACTAATGATATATTGCCTTCTTGAAAATGCTGGAAGAAAAAATACCAAAAAAAAAAAAAAAAAAAAAAGAAAGAAAGAAAATGCTAGAAGAGTAAATACTGTCTTACTATCACAAAAATGATAACTATGTAAAGTGATTCATATGTTAATTAGCTGGATTTAACCTATCCATAATGCATATATGCTCCAAGACATTAGGTTACATATAATACATACATAGAATTTTATCTGTCAATTTAAATGAATGAATTTGGAAAAGAAGTGTGAACGGGAAGGATAACTCACAATTTCAGAATGGTAATTTTCTCTGAGGAGAAAGAAAAATGAATCTGATAGAATGCGTGATCTCACTTGTGTTTGTAATAATATCCTACCAAAAAATAAAAGATGTGATGAAAAAATGAAAAAAAATACTATCTGATACTACACATTCCATATTATTTTCAAGGTTTTTTTTTAATGTTCATATACCTGTAACAGGAATAACACTGATTTTGAAATAATAAAAAATACTGTGTTCAAATAATAACTCTAAAACATTATATCTAACCCAAACTTGAATTTAAAGTTGGTGATCTTCATTTTCCTTATTTTGAAATAAGGATAATTAAATTTTGAAATTGTAATTGTGCTTAGATTTTAATGAAAATACAGAGTTCCTTATTTCTCTAATATCTCTTGATCAATCTTTATTTAGATTTTGACCAGGATTTTTTGCAACCTCCTCATTCTTGACCAAATGTTAAATATTGGATTTTTTTAATACCCAGTCATTAGTCTTATTTTCTTAACATATGCTTTCTCATTGTCTCTTCCACTTTAAATAATTTAATTGTAATATAATCACAGGCAACCCTCAAATGTATGTTATTAGTCCAGACCTTTCCTCCTCTCCTCTAAAAGTCATTAATATACGTAACGGCCTTACTGAGGTCACCACTTGAAAATCTTTTTGGGATTGCAAACCCAACATGTACAAACCCTAATTGGTAATCTATTCCTCATTCTTCCACTTTAGGGTTCTTTTTTTTAGTTCAGTAAATAGTACCACTAAATGTCTAGTTGCACAAACCACAAATTCATGAATCATGCTTAATAACTGCATCTTCTTACAACTTAGGCCCACGGTATTACACAAAATTCCACCCGTTTTACCTTTAAAATATCTCCGAATTTCATGTAGTTTCCTCTGTCTCTACCACTACAGCCTAAGGAATTACTGTCATCATTCTCACAAACATTAGAATAGGATACGACAGGACAGGACAGGATAGCACAGAATAGAATAGAATCTTTACTTCTTCTCCTTTGGATCCCTTTTTACTTTCTATCCATGTTGCCTGAGTAATCTTTATAAAATATAAATCTGCTAATGTCATTCCTTAGACATTTAGTCTTAGATATTGTTGATTTATCATTTTTCTCACAAAGAAGAACAAACTTTTAGTGCAGCTTTCAGGAAATTTCTTGGTTTGCGACCTACCCATTTCACCTGTCAATTTACATTATTGTTTTCTTCTTACTCTCTGTTCTCATCTTTCCTGAGTATCAGCTCCTCAAATTTGCCTTGTTATTTCCCCTTCCTCAGGACCTGAGTACATATTGCATAGTTGTGCAAATAACATGCTGTAATAGGTAGAACTATGTACGTGCTTGCTACAGTGCATTCACTAAAATTTTTGTAGTTTTTTAAAGTTTGTTTCATTATTCTACTTCAAATTTAGGCTTCAAATTTATTAATATCTTCTAAAATTATAAAATTAAGAAAAACAGTTATTTTAATACATATTAATTACTATGTTCTAAGTAAGATTGGGGGTGCTGTTGGAAAGCCAATAAATTATTAGGAAAAGCTTTAAAGCAGAAATATCCCCTCCTGGGAGTATTCAGTTTCACCCCATTAGTTTAACTGACTTCTGCTCAACCTTTAGCCATCTTCTCAATTATCAATGTATGATCAGTGAATCAAAGTTTTAGACTGTGCATAACAGCAACTCAATTAATAGTGCCTTATGCAATAGATCCATTAAAAAATCTCACATAAGAAGATGTGGAAGTAGGCAATCTGGGACTGATTCAGGGGGTAAACAATATACTCAAAATTAGATTTTTTTTTTTTACATTTTGTCATCCCTGATATGTCGTATGTGTGTCTGTGTATCTGTATATGTGTGTGTGTGAGAGAGAGAGTATGTGTGTTTATGTGTGTATGTTTAACTCAAGGAGGAGGCAAAATAGCTGTTGTAGCATAAGGAATCACATCTATGTTATAGATGTTAGAAAGAAAAGAATGGGTTGTGCCAATTTAACTTCAGTTTAAGTCTGGAACTCTAACATTTCTCAGTTCATTAACTGAAACTATCAGCTAGACAATCAAGTCTAGTTTCAAGAAAATCTAACTCCCAAAGAAGTCTTGATTGTAGAGGCAAAGAAAGGGGAAAGTGGGTTGGACAAAGATGTCAGTCAGATAACTGTACGACACCATCACATTTTTTTTGAAAACCTGTTTGATATTCTTAACTGTGTCACAATCCTTTGATATGCTGTAATATAGCACAAGGTCACTGTCCTTTTGACATGTAATGTAGTTGTGAATTTGGCTTTATCTGTATTGTGTTTTATTAAAATTTATCACTTCCATTAAGTAATAATCTCCAGGGAGGGCAGTAATATATGCTTTTTTTCTCTTACTATTTTAATCTCAGCTTCTCATACATATTAATAACTTTATTTAGTTCATTAATCAGTACATATTTCACACTTACAACCCACTGAAAGATTATTTTAATTAATGTCTATTTATCTTCATATTCTTTTAGAATTTTTATGACAGTTGTATCAAATAATGTATTCTGTTTCATGTTGTTTGTTTATTTTGCCACATAAATTAGTCTTTTATATGCAATATACTGCAAGAACCTTAAAGGTTAAGCTATTTCTAATATTTCTTTGGGTTTTCTTTAACAAATGCTATCATGCTTAGAATATAGTTATGATGTATGAAAAATTAATTTTATTTTTAAAGCATTTTTAAATAGTAACAATGCAAAATGCTTAATGATTTTTAAAAACTGTTTTAAAATACTATAAAAATGATGGCCAATGCACTGTAGCAAGCAGGTACCTGATTCTACTTGTTACAATATGTTGTTTGCATTATTTTTCTTACATGGAACTTTTGATAAATGATCATGTAATTCAATGAAACAAAAAAGTCTATAGTGATGGAAAATATAAATCACTAGTGAGATTGTTTATATCTAAGTATCAGCAGAAATTGATGATTAAATATAGATTTTTAGTTTTAGAGTAGAAACTAAGTAACAGAGGAAAATCAAACTGAGGTAATATCTACTATATTTGGAGATGTATTGACTAGTTATAGGAAAGTAGTTTTAAGTCTACCCTCCAGTCTAAGTGGAAACCTTCCACATATATACTTGGTCCAATCTATAGCATGGAATTAAAGAACATATTGGGTAGGACAGGATCCAAACTTGACATTGTAGATTAGCTAGGCCAGGTGTAATAAGATCAAAGCAAGTGTAATATAGAGGGCCAATAAAAGGAAAAATTTGTTATTTATTTATTTATGACAATGGTTTATTAATTATCTGCTACTATATTTGGTGTTAGCCATGCAAAAAAACAAAAATAGAATATTTATCATCCCAGTCATCATAAAGCTCTCATTTGGAAGGATAGAATTAATAAATTTTCCCAAAGTAGTCATAATTTTCTTGGAGATAAAATTTATTGTTACAAATACTCTGTGTTTCTTTTCCTTCCTTCCTTCTCTCTTATTTTGTTTTTTGTTGTTGTTTGTTCATTTTGACCACGGGTAGGCACAGACCAAAGTATCCCAGATGTCTTGAGTGTGCTATTTCATTTAATTCAGGTCTCTCTTTCTTTCTCTCTCTCTGTCTCTAAATATATATATGTATAAATACATATATAGTATTTCTAGCATATATAACTTATTCCTTTATGTATTATTTAAACTTACATTATTTTGTAATATATGATTGTTCATCTTTTCAATACTATACAGACAGTTCCTGACTAACAATTTTTCAATTTATGATGGTATGAAAGTGATATGCATTCATTAGAAAGCATACTTTGAGTACCTATACAACCATTGTTTTTCACTTTCAACATAGTATTCAATAAATTACATGAGCTAGTCAACTCTTTATTTTAAAATAGGCTGGTGTTAGATAATGTTGCCCAACTGTAGGCTAATGTGAAGTGTTCTGAGCATGTTTAACGTAGGCCGTGCTAGGCTATGATGTAGGTTAGATGTATTAAGTGCATTTTTGACTTAACAACATTTTCAACTCATTACGTGTTTATGAGGTTATAACCCCATTGTACTATGAGGGGCAATTGTGTGAACTATTCTAAAAATCAAAAAAAATTTTTAATTCTATATAAAATAGTTATCTCGACAATGTGTACATTCAACAATTTTCTGGTAATTTGATTGTGCATACATAAGTAGTCTCCTGAAAAGAATTAAATAATTTCAAAAGACTTGTATCTCTCAGTACTTCTTATGAAGAAGTAAAGACTGTTTTACAGTTCTTTATGTGTAAACACACCAGCATTTTTCCCCTTGAAATTCAACACAAATGATTTGGTGATAGTGTTTCTTGTTATTAAAAGAGATATCATTTGTAAACCTAAGTAGTTTGATATTAGTAACAAACTTATTGTGATACATTACAAATGATCTGGGTAGACAAAGATTTTAAAATCTGAAATGGAACCTCTGATCTGAATAGGCTCTTATTATTTTTTTCTGTCCTACGTTTTAGGTAAAGCTCAGGTGCCTAAATTTCATAATAACTTTTGTTAGGAAATGAAAGAATATTCTCTTCTTATTTTAAGCAACACAGTATTGGTTTTACTGACACTTCATTAATAAGACCTTTTTTGTGTGTGAGAGAAACTTCTATTGACTAAAGTGAATATGAGGGATGTAAAATCAAATTCAGAACAAAATGTATTTTTCTGCAACCCACATAATTAACAAAAGGTCATTTAGACACATTGTCTATAAACATTTTTTAATAACTCTCTTTTTATAAAAGCATAAATTTATGTTTTTAGATGTTTCAAGATAATAATAGCCAGGAAACTTCTGCTGGCCAAAGTCCATGAAGGTCTGTCTCTGCAATCATCCCAGTGTCCTGAGGGCAAAGTTTCTTTTGGCATCATCAGTTTCCTGCTTGGACAGGGGAGGGGCTGCTAATCTCTTTAAGCCAGAAAGAATTCACCAATAAACAATTATATCACAGATGATCCCTTTCAATATGTGTAAATATTTTAAATGTATTCAGCTGAAGATAATCTGAATTAGCATTTTATTGTAAATGAGCTATTTTAGCAAACATTTTATTGTTGCTGGAGTGCCTAGTATGTGCAAAGCACCAGGCTGAATTGCAGAACTAGTACTCACTAAAGCAAGCAGATATGGCCTTTAATATCAACATTTTACAATAAAATGAAATGCATAGACTGAAATGCACCAAATTCGGTTATATTGGGCAAATGTTTTGTACTATAATAAAAAGATATAGGCACAGTGTTGAGGGAAAAGCAGGTTTATTTTTGTTTGTTTGCCTAAAGCAGCCGGCACAACTTATGTGGAGAAGGTTACCTTTCAGGTAGGCTTGCAGAAATCAGCAGACTGTCTATAGACAGAGAAAATAAAGGTTCAAAGTTTTCGTTGGAACGAAACTGTGTGTGGAAAGTTGGAAAAGTGAAATTAAATAACATATTTGAGAAATAATCATAGGGCAGTGCAACGTGTAGATACAAGATATTCATTATAATATGAGGGACAAGAAAAGAAAAGTGGCAGGTTGGGTATGGTCAGATTGTGAAGGACTACGCCAGCCTGAATGATAAGCATTTTATTTCAGGAAGTTGTAGAGGAGTTTGAACAGGACAATGACATCGTCTAAATTGAGCTGTGTAAACTTATTTAATTATTGTGATGAGACTGCTCAGGCAAGATTTGCTAAAAGCAGAACTGGAAAGTAGGACATGAGGAGCAATTTTATTTGAAAATAAATATCAAAGTAATCTGTGGTACACAATGAATGAATTGGCCAAACTGTTTTCTCTGATATCAGAGTAACATCAAAGTTAAATGGCTGTCCTGCGCTAGCATAGTCTACGTTAACTAATAAGCACCTTTGTACCCTACTCTCTAAGCATGTACACACTGATGACAAAATTAGCCCCTCAACAGTGGTGGTAGAGAGTAGAGTTGGCATTATCATTTGATTTTGCTGCCTGGCTTCCGGCATGCCTTTTAGCACGAAGATACACAATATATGCTATGTTTAATCGTGAAGGTCATTCTCAATGTGATTAGAGTGGGTGACTAATCTTGACTCAGGACCAGTGATCAAGCACTTTGAGTATAACTTTGGTCAAATCTAACTGAAGGTACCTGCTTCTGTCACACTACGAATTGCTTCAGTCTGAGAAGCTCACAACAAATTCAATTTTATGGATGTCTAAAGTGCTTATAAGTTAAACAAACAAACATGAAGAGAATAAGAATTATTGGCCAACTACGGTGGCTCACAACTGTAATCTCAGCACTTTGGGAGGCCAAGGTAGGAGGACAGTTTGAGCCCAGGAGTTCTAGACGAGCCTAGGCAACATGGTGAGAATCTGTCTCTACAAAAAATAAAAAATAAATTAGCTGGGCATGGTGGGGCATGCCTGTAGTCCCAACTGCTTGGAAGGCTGAAGTGGGAGGATTGCTTCAGCCCAGGAGTTTGAGGTTGCATTGAGTAAGGATAACACACCAACACCCCAGCCTGGGCAACAGAGCAAGACCCTGTCTCAAAAAAAAAAAAGAAAGAAAAAAGAAAAAAAAAAAGAGAATAAAAATTATTGAAAGCAATTTTCAGGAAAAATAATTAATACTGTAACTTTTAGAAGTGAGGGTCAGTCTTATATAATACCAGAGAAAAATACTACCCTTCAAAATATTTTTAGAAGCTTGGGTGTTCACCTCATTTGAGTATTTAAAAACAGAGGAAATAATAACTAACATTCATTTACAACTAAGGATGGCTCAGGTACTATGTTAAATGCTGTGCCTGAATGATATTTTTTAACCCTTATAACTATTTTGTGAACTGGATATAAGTAATAGAAACATCTTGCAGTTTCAGAAATTGAAGTATATAGAGGCTTTATTGTTAAGATCACAAAGCTGATATAAAAGGAGACTCAACTGAAACAAAGCCTCCCTGATGATGAACCCTGGACTCTTGGCTGTTTTTTATGATGTATTTGCATATATTATAGTATCTTCTTTATCTTCTATCGCCTAGGCTGGAGTGCAGTGGAGCAATCTCAGCTCACTGCAACCTCCACCTCCCAGGTTCAAGCAATTCTCCTGCCTCAGCCTCCTGAGTAGCTGGGATTACAGGCGCCCACCACCACACCTGGCTAATTTTTGTATTTTTAGTAGAGAAGGGGTTTCACCATGTTGGCCGGGCTGGTCTCGAACTCCTGACCTCAGGTGATCCACCTGCCTTGGCCTCCCAAAGTGCTGAAATTACAGGCATGAGCCACTGTGCCTGGCCTATAGTATCTCCTTATGAAAACCTAAGTCACCAGATGCATTTCATTGCATTATTTTCCCGGAGTTCTTAGGCCCTTGTCAATCTCTATGACTGCTAACTCTTACCTCTCCATTTTCTTGGGACATCCCACCAGCAACGGGATTCTGGTGTCCTGGTGTTTTCTGAGACTTTCTGAGTCTTACTGACAAGCGGCTCATTTCATCATGGCTCTGCACCTAATGTTGCTATTGCTATTTTCTTCTTCAGGGCCTTTCTTTTTTTTTTTTTTTTTTAAGAAAACCATGGAGAAACTCACAAGATATCAATGATGCTAGGATGATGACGATGTGGTGATAAAAAAGTTAACACATATTAAGCATTTAATGCATACTAAGCTCTGGAGTAAACTGGTACTTGTCCACTTCAAAGCTGGATACAAAATATAAAAACACTCCTATATAAATGGTCATGTAGGAATTAGAAAGCTTTATTTTCTTCCTACTGAAAAGTATTCCACTCTGTGATTGCTTATGTAATTCCAACTACATTTTCATGCTTAGTTTAGAAATCATTTCTCCAAGCAACCATGTGTCACCCATTTCAGTGCATGCCAATTCCTCCTGAGTTTCATTTATACCCTATATGGCCCTTACTATGACATTTATCCCACTGTGATTTGATTGCTGTCATCCATCTCCACTGTGCCTATTGCATTATGAACTCCAAGAAAATAGGAGCTTGCTCATCTTGTGTTATTTCCAAACAACAGTGTCTGACAGATAACAGGTACCTGATAAATATAGGTTAAATAGATAAACAAATAAATTGGGCTATATTTCTATTACCTCACAATCTTTTGGCATTCAAATTACAGACAATTCCATATTTAGGGAAGCCAAGCCTAGCTAGAGTCACATCCTCTTGGCTCATCTCCTTGTTCGGCCACAGTTGTGATAGATGCTTCTAGGTGTCACTAACAGTGGCCCACTCCATCATGGCTCTGCACCTGATATCCCATTTTTCTGCCTCAGGGCCTTTTCTGGGGGAAGCCATATAGAGGCTCAGCATATGCAAAAGCACAGATTGTAAATGGGAGGCAATTAACTAGGGGCAATTCTTAACTTCCCATCAGTTTGATGGATCATACAGGGAGATATCTTGCAAATTTCTTAGAGGCCCTGCATAAAGCATAGTTGTGGCCTACCATGGTATTCTCAGTAATACATCTTTCTTTCCTCCATAACTATCTCAGCTCTCTCTTTATTGCTTCTTTGGATGAAGTCTCAAATAAACTACCTGAACTCAAACATTTGACTAAGGCTCTGCTTAAAAGACAACAAGGCATGGCAGCTCACACCTGTAATCCCAGCACTTTGGGAGGCCAAGATGGGAGGATAACTTCAGCCCAGGAGTTCGAGAACAGACTGGGCAACATGACAAAACCCCATCTACAACAAATACAAAAAATAGCTGAGTATGGTGGTGTGTGCTTGTAATCCTAGCTACTTGAGAGGCTGAGGTGGGAGGATCACTTAAATCTGGGAATTCGAGGCTGGAATGAGCCATGATTGCACCACTGCACTTCATCCTGGGCACTGGAGTGAGACCCTGTCTCAAAAAGACAAAAAAAAAAAAAAAAAAAAAAGAAGAAGAAGAAGACGAAGACACTCAGGAAATGTAAAATTCCTTTTTATTTAAATTTACTTTAGATTATATCTTTTATGCTCTCTTTTGCTCACTACTCTCTTAACCTAAACTCTTACCTGCTTCCTACTTTGAGATTAGATTATCATACCACGAAAGCTACAGTGGCAGGATGGTGACATTAATGTAGCAAAGGTAAAGTGTATTTGGGATCATTCCTCCCATACAGCTCCACGATGTCTACATCCCTAACCAGTTCTTGCCCACAGCTTTAGGACAACTCTACTCATCACTTCCACGACTTTTCCTCTAGGAACTGGGATGAAATCCTAGCAAAGCAGAACTAGAGAAATGGAAAGCAGTTCCAGTTGCAACTGAATCTTCATTCAGATATCTATTATTATTTATTTATTTATTTATTGAGATGGAGTCTCGCTCTGTCGCCCAGGCTAGAGTGCAGTGGCACGATTTCGGCTCACTGCAAGCTCCGCCTCCTGGGTTCACGCCATTCTCCTGCCTCAGCCTCCCAACTAGCTGGGACTACAGGCACCTGCCACCATGCCAGGCTAATTTTTTTTTTTTTTTTTTGTATTTTTAGTAGAGACGGGGTTTTACCATGTTAGCCAGGATGGTCTCAATCTCCTGACTTTGTGATCCACCTGCCTCGGCCTCCCAAAGTGCTGGGATTACTTAAATATACCTCTTGCTTTTTGGCTTATGTGGGTGACCTTTGACTTCTTAGTCATCACATAAAAACATTATATATCTTCGGCTAATTGTGCAATTATCATTATAATTTTACATTATTACCATTATTCATTTTTACAAAAACCACAGCCTAAGAAGGGTTCAAAGGGACTGTATGTTTTCTTTAGGGAAGAGTTAGGGAATCTTTATGAAGCAGTGAAAAAAGAAATGCAATTAGGAGTACTAGGTAATGGCCAAAGGAACAATGGCTGTGAAACCAGTCCCTGTGGTAGAAGGGTAAGATAGCAAGTAAATGAAGACAGTAAGCTAAGATAAAAAAATCTTAGCCCTTATGTACAGGGGCTTTCTATTTTAGGCCATACTAATTCTAGTGGTTTCTTGTCCCCAGCTCCCACTTTCTTGGTTCTTACTGCCCCTCAATCACAATTTTGCTTCTCATTACTGAAGTGAATTATTTTTGAATTAACACTAATTGTTCACCATGTTTTGAGCAAAATCTCTTCCATATTTGAAAAGGTTAACTGCTAAAATTTGTTTATAAATTTATGCTTTCTTAAATCCAAAGTGATCAGAAAAAGATGTATTTGGTGTTTCCTCAAACTGAAATGTGCCAGTTCCACAAAATTTTCAAACCAGGAATGTTAATCTCTCCTTATTTATTTATAATTTACAGAATAGTTTTTTAATGAGTAATTATCTATATTAAAATATATCTATTTCTCTAAAATTATTTTTATCTTTTTCTCAATAGCTTTCTAATTTACTTTCATTTTCCTCCTTTCAACTTCTGTTTCTAATAAGAATTGTATGTGGTGTTTATGTGATCTTCTGTAGGTATGCTTTTATTATTTTGTTTTCAATATTGAAATTTTTCTTGTTATCTCTTGTGAGTACTGACAGTTCTAATTTTTAATAACGTGTCTTTGTTTATCTCATTTCTAAGTTATTAATTCTGATTTGTGCTGTTTTTGTAGCCTTTATTGTTTTCTTATTTCAGCTTGCTTGAAATACAGTATTAGTTTAAAATTATGGTTAATTACATGAGCAAGTTTTTGTGACTTCATTTTAAGAAAGATTTATATACTCATACTCATTATCTTTTTACTAGTTTTGTATTTTTACAGTTTTCATAAGAAAAACATTAAAAATGTAGGCCCAACTTTTGAGCTTATGAAGATTAAAGAACAGTAGACCTAGTAGAAGCATATTATAGCTTCTGTGATCTTTAGCACATAATTGATGATTCCAAATGATGAGTGTTTGTTCCTTTCTTTTTTTTGAAAATCATTTAATGCTAGAAATTTTTTCCTGTCTCACCCTTTTTTGATATTAGACATCTTTTCCTCAAATAAACAGCAACTCCTCCCTTTCTTTCTTTTGTTCCACATCAAATTAAACCATCAACTAACTCTCAACACTCCTAGCTGACAGCAGTTCATCAATATTATCTGACCACAGTCCACCATGCTAAGCGGTAAGCGATGTGCTTTTGTAAGGGTCTCTGTAAATCCTCTTCAAAGTTATTTGAAAAAATGATATAACTTCTGACTAATTGGTCAAAAATTAAATGGAAGGTAAATTTTTGGAAAAATTTTTTTTATGAAAGGCATTATTTGTCATTACAGTAAATACAGAAAGTGTATAAGGTAATCATAATCATCATGGAAACAACGATGGAAGTAATTTTTGTCTTTATTTTTAGTACAACTCACAAAAGCTAAATACATTATGGTCTATGATTGTTTGGCTGCATGCCATACTATTTCAACTAGAAACTATGAGAGCTCGAAATGTTAGATCTCTAAGTAAAGCAGTTGCTGACATAAATCTGTCAGCTTCATAAACAATTGATAAAATATAAAGGATAAATTTTGCATGCTAACTACAGGTATATGGGGAGTCAACATGCATCCAGAAAGCAAAATATTAAAATGAGCTATACTAAATGACAAACTGTTACGAGCATTTGGAAACTAAATCATTATAAAATGTTTTCTTTGAAATAAGAACTCATTTTGGTAAAGCAGCAGTAGCATGTGTATGTGCGTGTGTGATACGTGATGTGTTATATGGGAGCTTTTCAACTGATGTTGTTATGTAGTATTTTGAAATTCTAATGCATTGCAGATCCTCTCACAAAGAGAAAAATTATATCAATGACAGGGAGACCCTGTTTTGTCTAACAGCTAGGCAACATTTTGTTTTTTTCCAAAGAGGATCAGTTAAACAATGTGTAAATAGTGCAAATCCCTGTACAATTGCTTTTCTTCTTTTCAAAGCTCTCCTATTAGCAAACCTATGATAATAATCACCACTTCAGGGTAATCAATCATGTAAGAATACAAAATAAAACAGAGCAATAAAAAAGGCTACAGGAAGCATATGGTTATTTTCTTTGCCCTTGGTTATTTTTTTTCTTTTTTTTTTCATATTTTCCACTGAATACCCTATGGAATCCATGACATGAAAATATTTTCCAAAAACATGATACAGAAATGCAGTGCTTTCAACTCTCTGTCACTTTAAATCATTTTCTAGTGAGAAAAACAGTGAACATGAGGAATCGAGCATAATTTTTATTTTACCATCAATAAACTTGGGCATATTGATCTTGCTCAAAGTCACAGTACCTATTTTAGAACAATGCCGAAAAAGTATCTCTTCACATAGTAAATTTTGAAGAGAAAATAATATAAAATCCTGTTTTTGTCGAGAGAAAAGTATTGTGTAAATATACTATACACATATACATATACATTATATATATAAAATCCTATTTCTATTCACCAGTTTTCCTCAAACTTGAACAATATTTGGGTCATTTTAACAAAATAAAATCATATTATTTCCTGAATAATGACAAATTATATTTATTTCAACATTAATGTCCTATGTATAAATTTTCAACACCTTTTGCAGAGTGTTTATTCAGTTATAAAATCAAAATACATTTACAAATTAATCACAAACAAAACCACCAAAGCATGTAAAATTCTAATTAACAATAGTTTAGCATGAGGGATAATTAATTGGAAATAAATCATGATTTTGGACATGAATTTTTAAAATGTTCATCATCCATTAGATTTTTAATCTTTTAATTTCTGTTCTTTTTTGACTTACATAATATTGTACTTTTATTCTTTTTACAGGATTCTAGGAGACTGCAACATAAAATTAATAATGGTAACCTTTTGGTTGCTAGGTAAAAATAAGTCAGACTTCAAACTTAACCAAAATCCCCTTAACGACTTATTTTCTCTTTTAAGGGTATGTGATTTAGTAACACTAAAGCTGTATTTTCCACTTAATATGATGCTATTAAAAAGTCAGTGTTAATAAAATATATATTAAATAAATACCTAATCCAAATTTTGTCTTAGAAACAAAAGATCTATTGCATATGTTATATTACTTTGTAGGAAAATATAACAAATTGATACATCTAAGTGTCTAATAAAGATTCAAGAACTGTACTAATTCAAAATGTAAACAAGTGCTGTTATTTTACAAAATAAGCTTTATTTAAGCTTCACTGAGGTATAATTTACATAGAATACAACTCACCAATTTTAAGTATACAATTCAATGTGTTTGAACTTTATATTGTTTAAATATCAAAATAATTATAAGATGTTTTAATTAACACAAAAACAATTCTGCTGTGCCCTTCTGCAGTCAGCTTTATATTTTGCTCTTATCTCCTGGCAACCTCTGATCTGCTTTCTGTCCTTGTAGTTTGCTTTTCTTAGAATTTAATATAAATTAAATCACAACATATGTAGTTGTTTGTATAGGGCTTCTTTCACATAGCTTAATAAAGATTAATTCACGTTATTGACTGTGTCTGTTTTTTGTTCTTTTTCTTGGGTTTCCTTTTTGCTGAATAGTAATCCATTGTATAAGACAATTTGTTTCTCCATTCACATGTTGATGAATATTTACATTCTTTTTAGTTTTCATGGTAAAGAATAAAGCTGTTATGCACATACGCATAAACAGCTTTGTGTGAACATATTTTTTTGGTCTGGATCCTATGGTATATTAATTTTACAAAAATATACAATATGTTGCCAAAGTGGCTGTATCAGTATGCATTCCCCCACCCAAAACATGAGAGTTCCCCTTTCTCTATTATCTTATCAGTTCCTGGTATTGTGGGAATTTTCCTTTTAATTTTAGACATTCTAGTGGATGAATAAAAAATTCTGTGTGACTTTAATTTCATGAGAAATGATACTTACATTTTCTTGTGTTTTCTTGATATTTGTAAATGTTCTTTGGTAAAATTTGAAATCAAATATGTACTCATTTTTATTATTGGGTTTGTGTCTTCTTAATATTGAGACTTTAAAAATATATATTCTGAAAGTAATTCTTTACCAGATATATATCTTGCAAATATAATCTGCATTTGTGGCTTGTAATTTACTCTTCTTTTTTATTTTTTATTTTTTGGGACTGAGTTTTGCTCTTGTCACCCAGGCTGGAGTACAATGGCATGATCTCAGCTCACTGCAACCTCTGCCTCCTGGGTTCAAGCGATTCTCCTGCCTCAGCCTCCTGAGTAGCTGGGACTACAGGCATGTGCCACCACACTCAGCTAATTTTTTTGTATTTTTAGTAGAGATGAGGTTTCACCATTTTGGCCAGGCTGGTCTCGAACTCCTGACCTCAGGTGATCTGCCCAGCTCAGCCTTCCAAAGTGCTGGGATTACAGGCATGAGCCACTGCACCCAGCTGTCATTTACTCTTCTTAACAGTGCCATTTTAAGAACTAAGTTTTAAATTTTAACAAAATACAATGTATTAATTTTTTTCTGGTAAATTCTTTATTTTGTAGCCTATCTAAGAACGCTTACACTTTTTTGGAAGTTTTATTATTTTGGTTCTTACATTTCTGTCTGTTATACATTTCTAGTTAGTTTTTTGTTCCTAGAGTAAGAGAGGGGTTCAGTGTATTCCAATTGATCTAAAACCATCTGTTGATTATTTGTTTCTCTTTGCATTACCTTGAACAATAATATCAACAGAAATATACACTTGAGTATATTTCTGGATTCTCTTTTCTACTGCTCTGTGTATTTAAGCCTATGTCAAAACCAAAATGTAGGGTTTTTTTGTTTGTTTGTTTTGTTTTTTTACTAAGTCACGTCCTACTCTTGGTTACTCCTATCCAAAATTGTTCTGGTTAGTTTAGTTCTGAGGACTGAGCTCTGATTTTTTATCTTGCCCAAGTTCCTGTCTAAGGAGTCTGGGGAGTCATGACCTACAAACCATACATTCTCATCAGATGGGTTTTATTTGACCCTGTATATCGTGACTTACTTTCCAAGCTGACTCTGGCATAACAAGGAAGAAAAACAAAATGTTTTACCCCAAAATACATTTCCTTGCCATACCTTGAAATTGCCCTCCAAAGTCTCTTGTGGGAAAAATCCACATTCTATATCCCCTTTCCACTTTTTTTCCTTCCTTCCTTTCCAGACCCAGGAGATAACCAACTAAGAGCCAGGCACCATTTTAGGTCTGATATGAAACATTTTACAACCTGCCCTCTCTCTGAAATCTGCTATCTCAGAGATTCCTCTGCACAATAATACTTAGTCTCCACAAACCTTTCTTTATTTTAACCTGAACATTCCTTTCCATTGATCCCCGGTCTTCAGATAAACTCAACCAATTGTCAACCAGAACATGTTTAAATTTACCTATGGCCTGGAAGCCCCCATCCTTTGAGCTGTCCCGTCTTTCTGAACCAAACCAATGTATTTCTTAAATGTGTTTGATTGATGTCTCATGCCTTCCTATAATATATAAAACCAAGCTGTATCCCAACCACCTTTGACACATGTTCTCAGGACCTCCTGAGGGCTGTGTCATGGGCCATGGTCACTCATATTTGGCGCAGAATAAATATCTTAAAATATTTTACAGAGTTTGACTCTTTTCCTGAACAGTTAAAATTCAATGGAAATTTTAGATTCCTGTTGTTAATTTCTGCAATAATAAATGTCTGGGATTTTGACTTGGATTGTCTTGGATCTACAAGTCACTTTGTTGGAATTGACATCTTTACAACATTGAATCTTCATGTCTTTGAATGCAGTTTATCTTTGCATACAGATTTTTTTTAGTTCTTTCAGAAAGATTTTGTAGTTTGCAATTTAGCATGCTTGCACTTATTTTGTTAATTTTATTCTAAAATATATGGTGCTGTTTGACATTTTAAAAGGTATTTTAAAATATTAATTTCTAATTTTTGTTGCTAGCAAGTAGAAATATAATTGATTTTATGTATTAGTCTTAAGTCCTGTGACATTGCTAAACTTATTTATTAGTTCGAGTAGTATGTTATAAATGCTTAGGCTTACCTATATAAACTAACTTATTAAAAAAAATAAAGTTTTACTTTGCCGTTATGACTTTAAAAAAATTTTTGCAGATAGCATGGGCTAGGACCTACAATGCAATAATGAATAGAAGTGCTGAGGCTGGGCTCGGTGGCTCACGCCTGTAATCCCAGCACTTTGGGAGGCCGAGGCAGGCAGATCACGAGGTCAGGAGATCCAGACCATCCTGGCTAACACAGTGAAACCCCGTCTCTACTAAAAATACAAAAAATTAGCTGAGCGTGGTGGCGGGCGCCTGTAGTCCCAGCTACTCGGGAGCCTGAGGCAGGAGAATGGCGTGAACCCGGGAGGCGGAGGTTGCAGTGAGCCGAGATCCCGCCACTGCACTCCAGCCTGGGCGACAGAACGAGACCCTGTGTCAAAAAAAAAAAAAAAAAAAAAAAGTGCTGAAAGTGGATATTGTTGCCTTGACTCTGATATTTGGGGTAAGAAATCAGTATTCAACTTTAATTATATTATCATGAGTTATAAAAAATTAGCAGTTTTTAAAATACAGGCCTGCTATTAGTTTGAAAAAGTTATCTATTATTATTTTGTTGAGAGTTCTTATAAATTTGTATTAACTTTTGTCAGACTGTTTTCTGTGTATGTTGTGATGATCATATGGGTTTGTTTTTTTTTTAGTTTGGTAATAAGCCTTGTGAAGTGGATTGATTGATTTGCAATGTTAAACCAATTTTGCATTCCTAGGATAGTTACTGTTACTATTTGGTACTCATATATTATCTTATTTATTAGCAGATTTGCTGTTTTAAAATATTCTTATTTGTTTATCTAAGCTCATGTGAGATATTAGTTTACAGTTAGTTTTCTTCTAATGGCTTTGCCTAGTATTACTGTCAAAATAAAGTGGGTCTCATAATGAGTTAGGTAATGTTTCCTACTCAATTTTTCAGAAAAGTTTGTATAAAATTTATAAGAGCACTTCCTTAGATATTTACTATATCTTCATTTGCATTATTTATTTTTTAAATGTTTAGTAGAATTAGCATATAAAGCCATTGTGTTTTGAAATTTTCTTTGTGAGACTTTTAACAGCAAATAAATTTCTTTGTAGATACAAGGTTGTTCAGACTATTTTTAAATGAACTTTGATAATACATGCATTTCAAGGAATTAGCTCATTTCATTTAAGCCATCAAATTTAATGTCATACTGTTATTCATAATATGTTGTCATTATATTTTTAAGTTCTGTAAGACATGTTTTCATTCCTGACATCAGTAATTTTATCTTCTCACTTTCTTCTTGATCATTTGAATTATATGTTTATAAACTGTTTGATCTTTTCACAGAACCAGCATTTGATTTCATTTATTTTATATATTGTTTTTCTGTTTTATATTTTATTATTTTATAGGCTACGTTTATTATTTTTTCTTCAACTTTTTTTGAATCTAACTCACTCTTATTTTCCAGTTTTTAAGGGAAAGCTAATTCATTCTTAATTATTTTTCAATATAAGTATTTTTTTGCTATATATGTCCCTTAAAGCATTGCTTTTGCCTCACTGGATACAGTTTGATACGTTTTTCTTTTCCCTTCATTTTATTCAACATATTTTCTAATATACACCTTAATTACTCCTTTGACCCATGTTCTTTTAATAGTATGCCTTTTAATTCTCAGAAATTTGGAGATTTTAGAGCTTTTCAAAAATTTTCAAAAATTCAGTGATTTTAGATTTAAACTTTGCAGATTTTAGATCTTCTAATTTGTATGATTTCTGAAACCAATTTGCTGTCATTTTTATAATTGTTCTTCTGCATGTCCTTTTTTCTGTTTCTGATAATAAGTTTTCTGTTTATCATTTATTCTCAGCAATTTGATTATGATGCTCTTTGCTAGAGTTCTATACACTTATTTTGTGTCTCAATCACTGAGCATATTGTACTTGTGGATTTAGTTTTACATTTCTTAAAATATATTTGTAATCCCCTTCTTATGAAAGTCCAGGAATATGTGTTAGTTTGCTAATATTTTTCCATATGTCACTGGATGCTCTGCTGAACTTTTAAAAACATTTTTGTCCTTTATTTTAGATACGTTGTTTTTCTGTATTCAATTATATATATATTTTTTTCTTTGGGAATATATTCTCCCTTTAATCTTATCCAGTAAATTTTTTTCAGATATAATATTTTTCATTTCCAGCATTTTCAGTTTTCAGAAACTATTTATTTTTCATATCATAGTGTTCAGGTTATCCTCTGTATTCTTGAACGTATAGGATATATATGTTTCTTGAACAAATAGAATATATTTATAATGATTCTACTAGCTTTCTAAATCTTTTGTTTGCTAAACCTATCCTCTGTATGATTGTTGTGTCTGTTTCTATTAGCCATCTTTTGATAACTGGCCATATTCTCGTGCTTCTTCACATGTGTCTTAGTTCATTTATGCTGCTATAGCAGAATACCATAGACTGGATAATATCTAAAGAATAAAAATTTACTTTCTCAGAGTTCTGGAGGCTGGAAAATTCAAGATCAAGGCACTGGAAAGTTTGTTTTTTGGTGAAGTCTGGTCTCTGTTTGCAAGATGGCACTTTGAATGCTGTATCCTCCTGAGGGAAGGGATTCTGTGTCCTTGTATAGCAGAAGAGTGAAAGAACAAAAGAGCTCTCTCCATTAAGCCCCTTTATAATAGCAGCTAATTCCATTCATGATTACTGAGTCCTCATGGCCTAATCATCCATTAAAATCCCCACCTCTTACTGCTATCACATTGGCAAAAGCTGAATTTTCAAAGAGACACATTGTAAAATTTACACTGTTATCTCCTTGATTGTGTTGTGTTCCTTTAGAGAGAGTTAGATTTTGTTCTGGCACAGAGCTAAGTGACTTGGAAGTAGTTAGATATCTGTGAGGCTTGTTTTATGAAGCCTTGTTAGGGTGGGTATACATCAGGCTACTTAGGCAATGTTCTTTTGAGGTCTTTATCGGATGCTTCCCTAGGTGGAATTTCTTCCCCTCTGACTGGTGGAAATATACAATATTTCCACTTTCCTGTTTACTGCAGAAATTGCTCTGCCTATTTTTTGCTGTGTTTTTTCCCCCCCTCCGGCCTAGAGCAGTTACCTTTGATCCACACACGTCAATACTCAGCCTAGGAGTATATTCACACAGATACCTGAAGCTCTTCTATGCAACTCCCTTAACTTCTGTATTCTATGCCACAAATTCTAGCATCTCTGCCCTTTGGAATCTTGGAAATCAATCTCCTCAACTCAAAAATTTTTGTTTCTTTTTGGGTTACACTTTTTTCTGCTTTATTCTGGAAACTGCCTTTAGACAATCAGCTAGTGCTTTCTTCAGGCTCACTTTATTTGTTTTTCTGTTTTTTCCTAGCTCACTTTATTTGTTTTCCTGTTTTTTCCTAGGAATCATATTCCTCTGCCATTTGTTTTCTAATGTATGAAAATCATTTGTTTCATATATTTGTCTGCTTTTTTTTAAGATAGGAAGTTAAGTATTTTCCATTTTACTTTATCTCATTCTATTGTTTTGAATAGGCTGTCAACAATTTTATGTTTGCTTTCTGAACTAATAAAAAACTTTGTTTGAACAGTGTACAATGTTTTCTGGCCCTGAGTTAGCCTAAGTTTGATTATAAGCACACACATCTGGGAAATGGCATATATATATATATAGTATGATTCCATAACATAATGGTCCATGTTATCCAGAGTATTCACTGTGTGAATACACAAAATTTTAAAACCTGGGAAAACTTCATGGAGCCTGTATTAGTCTGTTTTCATGCTGCTGATAAAGACATACCCAAGACTGGTCAATTTACAAAAGAAAGCGGTTTAATGGACTTATAGTTCCACATGGCTGGGGAGGCCTCACAACCATGGTGGAAGGCAAGGAGGAGCAAGTCACGTCTTACATGGATGGCAGCCGGCAAAGAATGAGATAACTTGTGCAGGGAAACTCTTCTTTATAAAACCATCAGATCTCATGAGACTTATTCACTATCATGAGAACAGCATGGGAAAGACTTGCTCCCATGACTCAATTACCTCCCACTGGGTCCCTCCCATAACACGTGAAAATTCAAAATGAGATTTGGGTTCAGACACAGCAAAACCATATAAGAGCCCCAAGAACATTTCTGTTGGGTAGTGAAGGGGAAAGCAAGAAGGTGACTATTTCATTAGGTGCTTTTCAATATCATATATAAACATTATATGATATATATTATATATTTATAATATAAAAATATTAATTTGAGCAAGACCTTTCAAAGTGATACTGAATCTCAATGGAGAAATTGTTACTTTAAACCTATCAATATGAAATGATTAAAATATAATTTCCCCTACATTGTTATTAATTCCATTATCATAATTTTGATACAGAATTACTTTATTTCAGGATAGACATGGTATCATGGAGAGTTCTATTCTCAGAACAATCAATGTTTCTTGCTCTTCAAGAATCAATATTCTTTACATGAATAATTAATTTTTTGCAATCATTTCTGAGAGTATATATATCCTCCAAGAGATTTTTGGTAAAATAGAAATAATTATTTGGTTTTAGAAGGGAGCAAAAAAAAAATCATAAGATAACTTTCAGGAAAATATTGAAATACGGTAGTTTCTCCTTCCCTCCCTAAGGCAGGATTTTATAAGATTCTATAAAATAAAAGTTGATCCTTTGGAAAGAGCGATATAAAAATAATGCAAAGAAATAACTTAATAGAGAAAAGCTATTGTGCAAATAATATAAATCAATTAAATGAGTTTTTTTCAAGAACAATTTTCCTTCCTACGCTTTGCATTTTCAAACTCAGGAGAAAAGATGTGTGATATTTTTTAGGTAGAATAGAGAGTTGCAGCAAGTTAACAAAAATCGGGCATTTATACAGCAAATAAAATTTTCTAAATCAAATAAATATGTTAACCTAAATCATTAAGAAATAAGTTATGATTTATAATCAGATGTACCATGAGTCTCACATTATTACACACTTTGAATAGAGTTATAAGTAACAACTACAAATTATTAAAATTTATATTAAAATTTCTACTTGCTATTTGACAACATAAACAATGTTTGCCTCCCTGTCAAAATGATCACAATTACTCTTTGAGGATACACAAGGTAAGCTCAGTTATTTTCAACTTGGCATTGAGGATATTGCTTATCATAATGACAATGATGCAGAATCTCCTTTCTGGGTTCATGATCCTGAGTGTCAGCTAATAACTCCGCAATGAGAGATAGCACTAATAAATAAATAAAGTGACTTCTGTGCTCCAAAGTGCTCTCTTGATGTGTGACACTTGGCAGTATATTATTAAAGAATCATTGTAACAGTGATGTATTGAAATAGAACATCACCAGAGAGTCATTACCCGGTTGATGTATTGTACCTTCTCAGGGTCTTGGAGATCTAAGAATGCATTTCAAAAGCCAGGCCATGGGCCTATTTGAAGAATAAAATGGATTTTTTTCTAATAATTTTAAGATTGCAATGAGTGTCTATGATAGCTGTAATCTCAGGCAATCTAAACTTATAAATAATACGTTTTGCTTGATATGTCATATATCATGTATGTGTGATTATGGAGTATGATTATGGCCCAGGAGATTTATGTAAGCAGTATATATGAATGTAGGAAAAACAGTTTTCATAGGAATTCAGACTTACTGTGGGGAAGACATGATATAGTGTAGGATTTTTAACTTTAAAATAAGTTTTGAAACTGCTCTGTCCAAACCTTGAAGCCTATGAATTCAGATTTACATATTTATTTTGAGGGTAAAACTAAGAAGAGCACAGAACAAATAAGGACAAATGTGAGCAATTTTGTATGCTTAGCAAAATATGGGATATATAAAGGTTGTGGATTCTATCTGGGCTTCTCCACAGCTGCTTAGATATAACATTATTATACAGTCTGGATTTTTCTGTGCCAAGGCAGCCAACCAACATAATCAACTCAGTCAAACACTGAATGCTCTGATTAAAATGGGTTCATCAGAATCTATGTATGAAGGTGTAGGCTGCATCCTATGTGAAAATGCTCAGTGAAGGTCTTAAGACAGTGGTGGCGGCGGGCAAACCTTGAAATCTAGGCCATCCTCTGCTCTACAAGTTTCTGACATGGGGATCCAGCTTAGAGGAAGTGAGACATTTTTCTAGTTTTTCTAGATGAGGGTGCTTTTTGGTTTTTGATTCCCCCAGGAGTGCCTTTTTGTAATTTTAACAGGAAGCTAATCAACCCCTTACCTCTCCGTATGTTTTTCCATACTTTCTGTGTTTATTAATTTCATATATACAGCCATGGACTCTATTTTGAGCTCTAGCTTGGGTATTTGCATGTGGGGACCATTAAATTCATGGAGAAGGGAAAAAACACAATGATTATTTGCATAGGTAAAAAGCATTCAATAGATCTAATTTAGCCTCCTTTTTTCTTAAGTGTCATATTATTCAGTAACCCCTTACAAGTCAGCAAAGATTTGGTGGTCTCTGTTCCTAACCTGAAAAGTTGTCTTTATCTTCCCACATACCTGTTACACTACTTCTTATTTGACTTTCCTCTAACCTTTATGATCCCTACATTTCCGATGGCTATCTAAATTGGTTTATTTTCCTTTTCAGCTTACCTTAATACGTGCCCTTTATTTTAGAAGCCTGGATTCCCCAGGTGAGCTGGACAAGGCCCTTGGTTCATAACTATGTTTAGACTCAAGTGTTATTGCTTCTCATCTTAGTGGACTCTGGGATGGTATTCCACACTTTAAAAATTTCAATACATCATGTGGATGTGTCAAAGTGGTAGAGAAGTTAGAGCTGGAGTTGGGTCTAGAGGCTCCCTATTTTGCAGTACCCCTCTATTTGGATCAAAACAGTTGGTAGATACCTATAGAGGATGCAGGGAGACTGTAGCAGCAAAAGATTGTTAAGGACTGAGAGAAGCGGTATTTTTTTTTCTTTTACCAAGAGTATAAACACATTTTAATATTTTTTAAATGACTACAGTCATTCCAGTGCATATGGGCTGGATATCAGCCAATGTGGAACTGTGTTAGTTCTTCTCTACCAGATCCTTCTCCTATTGATAGTTTAGTCTTATTTATTTGCTGGCATTTCTAATAGTTTTTAGCATCATTCTTCCATTTTCTTAACTTAGAAAAATCTTAATTCCTCTTATAATTAAAAATTGTGAGCTAATTTATTTCTTTTGTAAACTTTTAAAGACTTTTCTTGAATTAATTTAATTTGGATTTTCTCTTATGCAACCAAAGAGCCTCAATACATATTCTACCGCTGAAGAGTTTTATCTAGATATTATATATTTTATCTTTTATATTCCAATGTCTCCCTCTACATTTTTTTTTTTTTGAGATGGAATCTCCCTCTGTCGCCCAGGCTGGAGTGCAGTGGCATGATCTTGGCTCACCACAAGCTCCGCCTCCCGGGTTCACGCTATTCTTCTGGCTTAGCCTCCCGAGTAGCTGGGACTATAGGCACCCGCCACCACGCCTGGCTAATTTGTTGTATTTTTTAGTGGAGACAGGGTTTCACTGTGTTAGCCAGGATGGTCTCAATCTCCTGACCTCGTGATCAGCCCGCCTCGGCCTCCCAAAGTGCTGGGATTACAGGCGTGAGCCACTGCACCTGCCATCTCCTGCTACATTTATTTTTCTATTCTGTACCATTGTTCTCATCTTAAAATTTTACTATATCCTTGCCAAGATCCAGAGGGGTAGCATGCAGATTTGGTGCATGAGTCATAATTTGCTGACACCAATAATAAATTATAGGGACATGCAGTTAAAGGCAGGCAAGTTAGAAAGGTAGAATGATAGTCCGCGTGACAAGAAATAAGGACTGGTCGTTACATTCCCTAAGACAGTTTTTGTCTAAACTAGATACAGCGAACTATGAACCATGACCTAAATTTGTTCCCTGGCTGCTTTTATAAATAAAATATTATGGAATACAGCCACGCCTACTCATGTATATATCATATTTGGCTATCACGATACTATAATGGCCAAGTTGAGTAGCTGTGATAGAAACTGTGTGGCCTCCAAATTCTTAAAGATTCACTACCTGGTCTTTTATAGGAAGCATGCCTGTGGGATCTGGCCAGCAGCCCACAATGCAATGGGGCTCTCTCTTTATTTCCAGGTGGATAGGCAGGTTGAGAAATAATAGACACGCACAAGATAGTGAAAGCTGGGTCCAGCGGGGGTCACTGCCTTCTGGTCCCACGGTGCCAACAATGCACTGGATATACCAGCATTTATTATTAAGTTTAGTGAGGGCAGGGGTAGGTTACTGAGGGATTTAGGGTCATTTGATTATGAGGTGAGATGGTCACATGGGGATGAAGTAATTCTTTAATATAACATTTGTGTGCAGAAGTACAGTATACAAAGATAAGAATTTACAATATAGTGTGTCAGTAATTTCTATCAGAGCCTTGAAACAGAAACACAATCTTTTCATAACCTATGATTAGCAAGATATTAATCAGCAGTAACAGTTGCAGCAAAAGGTGGTTACAAACAATCCATAGAAACGGGACGTGAAGCTAGACAACTGGTTAGACCAGAAATTCTCAGAAGGGAGTATGCCTTAACCCTAAAGAGGCCTAGAAGAGCCGTGGCAAGATGAGGGCGTTTATAGCCCTATCTTATCCATATGAACAGGCGCCCCCCCATTGCGTCCGTTTATAGGCTCTCCACAAGGGTCGCATTCCATTCCCAGACTTATGAACACCTGCTTTTCTGGGATAGGAATCTTGGTGATGTGAAACCTCCCTGACTGCACATCCATTCATTGGCTCTCTGCACGGGGAAGCACATCACATGCTGTTGGCTCGTTCTGGCAGTCCAACCTGGCATTGTCTTTACAAAATCCTGCATTCAATTTTGTATTTAAAATAATCAGGAACATTTCATCTTTTATTCTGTAACCATAGTTTCAGGGGGTCTCCCTACACATGCCAACCCCTGGTCTCTCCCTAAGTTATTCCAATACTGTCTACATCTACCAATTTCATATATACAGCAATGAACTCAACTTTGAGCTGCAGACTTCAGTATAAAACTGCTTATTTTATGATTCTATCTAGATATCATGTGAACATTTCAAATGTTGAATAAATTAATAAAAAATCTTCACTTTAATATTTCTTCTCCCCCATCTCAAACCTGGTTTCACCAAAATAGTCTTCTATAACTTAAAAAATAATACATAAATGCAGTGATTGTAATGTTCTCTATGTCCAGGATTCAGCTTAAATATCACTTTCTCCATGAGCCCACCCTAACTTCCGCATTAAGATTAAAGACTTTTTTCCTGCATTATCTTCCTGCTTTTAGAAATGTTTTCATTGTTATATATTTCATATTCTTATTATCACTCTTCTACTACTTTTGTCCTGGCTAGACTGTGAGCCCCAGAAGTAAAGGAAATCTACTTAATGTATATATAGATTGTACTATAATAGTAAATACTTAGTAAATATCTGTTGAGCATATAAATATTTCTCAGAATTATGCCATCTCTTAAAACATATAATTCAACACCTAGTTATTTTTTCACTGTTGGTTTTTAAAGAGTTATATTTGAATTAAATCATTTCTGTTTATAGTAAATATACCCTTGGGAAGTCTAAGCATTAGTTACATAAAGACATAGGAAGTTTTATTAGTGTAAATTATCCACATTGAAGCAAATTATTTAAAAGGAAATTATATAGTTTCTGAAATAATACTCATAAAACTTTAAACAGTTATGAAAAGTGATCTTGTTAAATAATATAATAGCTTAAGAGTATGATGATCTATATGTTTTGCTTTATAGTCTTTGAAATATTGAACTATAGATACTCCTCAACTTACGGTGTGGCTATGTTCCAATAAACCCATTGTAAGTTGAAAATGTATTTAATACACCTAATCCACCAAATGTTACATCTTAGCCTAGCCTACCTTAAATGTACTCAGAACACTTACATTAGCCTACAATTGGGTGAAATCATGTCTAAAAAATGCTGGTAACACAGCATACTGTATAGTATCAGTTGTTTACCCTGGGAGCTGAGGCTCAATGCTGCTGACCGGCATTGCAACAACATATCATACCATATATCATTAACCTGAGAAAATATCAAAATTCAAAATTCCAAATATGGTTTCTACTGAATGCAATTGTTTTTGGCCATTGTAAAGTCCAAAAATTGTATTAGGTTGGTGCAAAAGTAATTGCCGTTTTTGCGATGAGCTACTCAAAGAGCTCAGTCAGGTAACTTTTGCTCTTTTTCTCATTTCTATTACCTACTCCTGAAAGTATTTCTAGGATGCATGTTAAACAATAATATTTGCACATACTCAAATAAACATAGCATTAAAGTTTAACATTAGGAATTTGGAAACACAGTAGTAAAGATAAATATTATGATGGAAGATATGATTACAAAATGAATAAATGTGGGTTGATGAAATTCATGTTATTCCTTAACAGATGTATAGTCATATATTATTTTCTATTGTGGCAAGATAAGATACATCAAGAACAGATTATATTTCAATACATTTCTTTTCTCAGTAGTTTTTTTGTTTTTTTTTTGTTTTTTTTTTTTTTGAGACGGAGTCTCGCTCTGTCACCCAGGCTGGAGTGCAGTGATGCGATCTCGGCTCACTGCAAGCTCCGCCTCCTGGCTTCACGCCACTCTCCTGCCTCAACCTACAGAGTAGCTGGGACTACAAGCGCCCACCACCACGCTCGGCTAAATTTTTTGTACTTTCAGTAGAGACGGGGTTTCACTTTGTTAGACAGGATGGTCTCGATCTCCTGACCTCGTGATCCACCCCCCCTCGGCCTCCCAAAGTTCTGGGACTACAGGCGAGAGCCACCGCACCCAGCCTTCTCAGTAGTTTTTAATCCCATGTTTCAAAATTACATTTTCATCTCAAGTTCCATAATACCCCAGAGACAAATTTACCATGCAAAATAAAAATGATTATAATAATAAAGTACTTTCTGCAATCATTGAGTTGCCAGTATTAAAAAAAGTTCACTGTAAATCTAAGATCTTGTACAAGTAAAATACAAATGTTTTAAATTATTATTTGCATTTGAAAAAATATTGTGTTAGTGATGAACAAAACTATCTTAAACATTATTGGGATTAGAATGATAAAGATTAATGTAAAATATTGGATGACTTCTAACAAAAAAGATGGAGCCCAAGCAAAATATTTATTTTTGTTGAAAATATCTTCATTTACCAGCAAATACTTACTTCAGTGTTTGGCTATTTGAAAAACAACATTAAACATCATCTCTTTTGCTTAACAGCATTTGATTTTGAGTATCCCTTCTAAATCCTTGACTATTTTTACAAAATACAGATATTTGAACAGAGACATGACACGATCATTTTGATGCAGAAAAAGCTAAGGGTATCTGACATTCAGAAACATTGGCAATCAATGAACTATGTTTAGTAATTTTAGTAGTTACGTATTAAGCCATTAAATACTTACTACGTACCAGGTACTATGCTTGACATGGATCACAAAAGTAAAATACCTGACACATCCCCAATCATATGACTTACAGTAGAGCAAGGAAAAGAGACACTGTACTGTACAAAAAATTACAAAAACTAATCTATTTATGTGATAATAATAGGGCATTATTATTATTATTATTTCCAAGATGGAGTTTTGCTCTGTCACCCAAGCTGGAGTGCAGTGGTGCGATCTCGGCTCACTGCAACCTCCACCTCCTAGGTTCAAGCAGTTCTCCTGCCTCAGCCTCCTGAGTAGCTGGGATTACAGGCACCCGCCACCGTGCCCAGCTAATTTTTGTATTTTTTTTTTAGTAGAGACGGGGTTGCACCTCTTCTGCATTTTTAGACCTTAAAAAGTCCCAGATATATTTTCATAAGTCAAGAAGGTTTTTAGTGAGTTATTAGTATGACTTATCTTTATTAGAAGCAAAGATGACAAAGAATGAAATTCACCTCTCATTATAGAATTTATAATTTACATAGTATCACATTCAAATGCCTTTCAACTTGTTGTAGCTTTTCTATTCTAATTACATCTGAGTTATTCACATTAACTCTGTGTTGATGTTCTGTAATTACCATCTCAATCTTTCTTTAAAGCTAAGCAAGTAGGCTTTATATCCTACTTCTTCTCTATATTTTCATGTATTCTCATAAAGAAGAGGTCGTATATGCCTAAATTTAAGAAATTTTACTTGAAGAGGTGGCATAGCCATTGCTTTTCTAATGAAGTCAAGAGCCAAAGGGGAAAGAAATGATTCTGTAAAACCACACGAAAGGACATATTGCAGTAACTTGAGTTTTAAGGATAAAAGTGTCCCACAGATAGTATTACTGTACCAATAGTTTGCCCAGAAGAAAAAAAGTCAAAGCAGGCCAACATTGGTGACACATTATTCAAGGCTATATATTTTACATGCCCTATTAAATTAACAAAAAGGAAAATATCAACTCATCAAGACAGCTGAATCAATTTTGACATGGGAAAGCTATCAGAGAAACACTGGAGTAAACTTCTTTCATGAATTCCAAAGCAACACAAATAGACAGAACTTTGTGTTCATGTAATACTAGAAATCAAAAGAACTTTCAGTAATTGAATCTAGGAGTTGCCTCCAGGAGTTAAGCTGGTCTAAGATTAATAAAAAATTTTTGATTGTCTAGGTTCACAAAATAGGCTGAAATTTGAACAGACAATCCTGATTCCAACAGATTGCTGTGAGCAAAAAAAAAGGGGAATGACATCAAATGTGGTATGACTTGAGCTGTCATAGAAAAAAATACTTTGAGCAGCTTAAACAACAAAAATTTGGTTTTCACAATTTTGGAGGATAGAAGTCTGAGATCAGAGAGCCAGCAAGCTTAGGTTCTGTTGAGAGCTCACTCCCTGGCTTAGTCCTTTTCTCGCTACTCTGTGTGCCCCCAAGGTTTTTTCTCAATGCATGCACATGAAGAGAAAGTTCTCCCTCTTTACATTTTCTTATAAAGCCATCAAGGCTGGGCACAGTGGCTCACACCTGTAATCCCAGCACTTTGTGAGCCCCAAAGTGGATGGAACACTTGAGGCCATGAGTTTGAGACCAGCCTGGCCAACGTGGTGAAACCCCGTTTCTACAAAAAATACAAAAATTAGCCAAGCATGGTGTTGCACGCCTGTAATCCCAGCTATGTGAGAGGCTGAGTCATGAGAATTGCTTGAACGTGGGAGGTTGCGATTGCAGTGAGCGAGATTGTGCCACTACACTCCAGCCTGGGTGACAGAGCAAGACTCTGTCTCAAGTAAATAAATAAATAAAAATAAAAATAAAATAAATAAAGCCACCAGTACTATAAGATTAGGACCCCACATTTATAACCTCATTTAACCTTAATTACTTCATTAAAGGCCCATCTGTAATACAGTACTGTGAGATTTAGGGCTTCAACATAGAATATTATTGAGCAGAAACAATTCAGTACAGTGAATTCCAGCATTAGCACCCCCAAAATTGCGTTATTATATGCAAATATTCCAACAGCTCAAAAGGCTTAACTAACTCTATAGCAACTCTAAAGTCCAAAGTTTCATCAAAATAACACCTCAATTAGACATTTGAGAGATTTGAGGTACAATTCATCTTGAGGCAGAATTCCTCTCCAGCTGTGAAACTGTGAAACCAGAGTTATGTGCTTCTAAAATACAATGGTGGACAGACCTAGAATGGACGTTCCCATTCCAAATGGAATAAATCAGAAGGCAGAAAGAGGTGACAGGTCCCAAGAAAGTCAGAAACCTAGCAAGGCAAATTCCATTAGATCTGAAAGATCAAATATAATTTTCTCTGGTTTGATGCTCTGCCCTTCAAGGCCAGTGTCACCCCCATGACAGGGATGGCAGTGTCCCCTCCATGAAACAAGGTAGGAGTCACACCCATGCAGCTCTGGCAGACCAGTGTCCCATACCCAAGGCTCTGTAAAGCAGTCAAAACCCCAAAGTTTCAGATAGAGGCTGTCTGGCCTCTTGAAACCAAGGTGGTGGCCCTGATAATCTCCGAATTGCCCATGGGGACACTTTTCCTTCTACTTAAAAAATATTCACGTTTGTAGCTAAATAACTCCATCACCCTGTCCTTCAAATTCCAGAAGTCTGACAACCTTTGTTCATATTGTCCCATTTCCATCCACTTCAGTTTAAACTGACAGTGTTTCTGCTGATATAAAACCCCATTAGTTCTTGACTGAGTGATAGTCCAGTCACACTTTTGGTGTTCTCTTCAAAATATGCTTTCTTTTTTTTCCCCCACCATAAAATTAGCCTGAGTATTTACCAACACTTTAAGTTCTGATTTATTTTTTTCTTAGCAATCATTTCTTCAGTTCATGTCTCTCCATTTATATTTTCCTATATGAAGTCAGAAAGAACCGAGCCATTCTTTCAATACACTGCTGAAAAAATCTCCTCAGCTAAATAACTGATTTCATTGCTAGCCATTTCTACCTTTCAAAAAACACTAGAACAAAGTCCAACCGAGTTCTTTGCTATACATTTTTAACAAGGATTCATATTTCTAACTCAAAATTCATATTTCTAACATGGACCTCCAAACTCTTTCAGCCTTCACCCATTACCCATTTCCAAGGCTGCTTCCACAGGTTTCCATTTTTGTTATGGCAACATTCCACTTCTCAGTGCCAAAATCTGAATTAGGGCTCTCCAGAGAACCAATAAGGAGTGTGTGTTTGGGTGTGTGGATATGTGTGTGTGTGTGTGTGAAGAAATTTATTATCAGAAATTGGCTTATGTGATTAAGGAGGCTGAGAAGTCTCAAGATCTTCAGTTGAGAAACTGAAGGCCCAGAAATGCCAGTGTTTAGTTCTATTCCAAATCTGAAGACCTGAGAACCAGCAGAAACAATGGTGTAAGCTGTAGCCCAAAACCAGACAGATTTGAGACCCAAGGGATGCTGAAGTTTTGATTTGAGTCTGAAGCCTAGAAGAGACCAGTGTTTCAGCCCCAAGCAATCAGGTAGAAGGAATTGCCTCCTATTTATGGGAAATACAGCCATTTTGTCCAAATGAGGGCTTCACATTGAGAAGATGAGGGCCACCAATATTAGGGAGGACATACTGTTTTACTCAGCCTATCAATTCAACTATTCATCTCATCCAAAAACACATTCATAGACACATGCAGAATAATATTTGAACAAATATCTCGACATCATGTTGCCTACTCAAGTTGATGCATAAAATTAACCATAATATGGTATATTTTTTACCTTAACTTTTTTGGCTATCTCTTGCTCTTCTTTTTGTAGTTTCTGTTTTTTTTTTTTAATTTTTTTTTTTTTTTTGAGACAGAGTCTGGCTCTTTTTCCCAGGCTGGAGTGCAGTGGCATGATCTCAGCTCACTGCCACCATGCCAGGCTAACTTTTGTATTTTTATTAGAGACGGGGTTTCAACGATGTTGGCCAGGCTGGTCTTGAACTCCTGACCTCGTGATCCACCCACCTCTGCCTCCCAAAGTGCTAGGATTACAGGCATGAGCCACCGAGTCCGGCCTGTAGTTTCTTAAGGTGAAAGATTAGGTTATAGATTTGAGATCTTTGTTTTTTTCTAATATAAGAGTTTATAACTATAAATGACCTCTAAGCACTGCTTTAGATGCATTCCGTAAATTTTGATATGCTGTATTTTCATTTTTATTCAGCTCAAAATGTTTTCTAGGTTTTTTGCATGTGATTTCTTCTTTAATCCATTAGTTGTTTAGGAGTTTGTTGTTTAATTTTTACATATTTGTGTATTTCCTGTTTCTTTCTGTTCTTGATTACTAATTTAATTCCATTTTGGCCAGAGGACATACTTTGCATGATCTCAATCATTTTAAATTTACTGATACTTTTTTTGTCCTCTAGCACATTGAACTACCTGAAGAATCTTCTATGTGAGGTTGAGAAGAATACCTATTTTGCTGTTTTTGACTGGAGTATTCTATAGATGTCAGATTTACTATTCTGATATTATTCAAATTTACAGTTTTTTGGTTGATCCTCTGCCCACTTATTTTATTCGTTACTGAAACCGATGTATTGAAGTATTACCACGGAATTATCTTTTTCTTTATTTCTGTCAGTTTCTGCTTTATATAATTTGATGCATTATTATTAGGTGCATATGTGTTTTTACTGGTTATATCTACCTGATACATTGACTTTTTTATTAATATAGCATAATCCTCTTTAACTGTATTAACCTTTGACTCTTTTATTAATATAACGTAGTCCTCTTTAACTGTATTAACATTTATATTTTAAAGTATATTTTTTCTGATATTGTTATAGCCACACAAGTTCTCTTACAATTACTGTTGCACGGCATCTTGTTTTCATCTCTGCTATGAACCATTTGCTTCTTTGGATCTTAAGTGTGTGACTGATAGACAACTTATAGTTGGAGCCTTATTTTTTATCCAGTCTGAAAGCCTCTGACTTCTTTTTGAAGTGTTTAATGTATTCATATTTAAGTTATTATTAATATGGTTGGATTTAAGGTTGCTTCTGAATTTGTATGTTTTATTACAGCACTACTTATAAGAGCAAAGTCATGGAATCAACCTGTTTATCGATGGATGATTGGATAAAGAAAATATGGTATACATATACCACTAAGTACCACACAGCCATAAAAAATAATGAACTCATGTCTTTTGCAGCAACATGGATGAAGCTGGAGGCCATTATCCTAAGTTAAATAACCAGGAAACAGAAAGTCAAATATCACTTGTTCTTGCTCAGAAGTGGGGGCTAAGCAACGGGTAAGCATGGGCATACAGAAAGGAATAATAGACATTGGAGACTCCAAAAGAGGGAAAGATGGGAGAGGAGTAAGGATTGAAAACATACCTATTGGGTACAATGTTCACTACTGGAGTGATAGGTGCACTAAAAGCTCAGACTTTACTACCGTGCAATATATCCATGTAACAAAACTGTACTAGTATACCCTAAATATATAAAAATAAAATAAAAATGGCAAAAAGTTTATATGAGATTCTTTATGAAAATATTCCAGCAAAGCCAAGTTTAAAAGATCCTATGTGGCTAAGCGCTATTCATGTTGCACTTTATGCAAATAATCAGACCAATTTATAATAAGACTAAAACTTTTCTTGTAAATAAGTTGATCTTACAATTACTTCTTGGTAGAAATAGGGAACAAAAGAGAGAAAAGTTGTACTTCAGACAAACAAACTATAATGCACTTGTTATTAGATTCTAGCACTGTCTATTGTTTTTGAGTTTTTGCTATTTGTCTAAAATCTGGGCCAAATTCTGAATTCTTTCCTGACTAATAGTCTCAAAACTAAAGTTTTCAAAAATTTCTCACATTTTTCTCACTTGGAATCACTGGAAATTACAACTGTGCTTTTCTTGAAGATCTCCAAACTGAAGCTAGAAAATTTAATGTAACCTTTGGAGAAAAATCAACACAGCAACTTATATATAAACAATCTTCATGACTTCTGATGTGTGTATGAACTACTTAGAAAGTTCACTTGAACACCTTATTTAAACCACAATCCAGAAAAATCTGGTTAGATTTCACTGTAATTTGAAGAAGCTTTAGACCCTCTAGAAAAACTAGCTTACAGACTACTCTAGACATTAGCCTTTGTTTTTCTTCTGTGTCCAAAGATATGATATGCCTCTTATTAAAGCTCTGTGTGCCCTCATTATGCACAGAAGCCTAGCTCTGAGAGCCCATCTGGAATGCTGCCTCCTGGAATGGGACACTACTGTTTAATCAAACTGATCCATTCCTGGGATGAGAGACTGATTCAAGAAGATATGGGTCAACATATTTAAATTTGTTCTTTTCTACTTATCTCAATTTGTTTTTCCCTCCTTTGTGTCTGTTATCTCGCAACCTCTAACTCAAATCTTTCTGAAGGTATCAAGTGGGCTTTAAAAATGTAAAACTTTCTGAAAGAAATTTTCAAGGGGGATAGAATAAAGGAAACCAAAATATTTTATGTCCTAATATATTTGTTTGACTATTTTGAGATGCTTCTCAGAGGGCCTGAAAACAGAAGTAGTCCTGAAAAGACTGTCTTTTGTCAGGGAGATTTGCATCCGTAGAGAAAATCTGCAGGACTATAGAGATTGTTTAACCACAGAGTGCATACCCATCAAATATTTTAAAGTGGAAAATAGGTACTTGAATTAATGACAAGGTTAGCTTGAAACACAAATTGGAATTCCACATTCCCAATGTACATTGTGTAATATCCAAATGATTATTTTAAATGGTTGTTTATGATTATTTTTGTGTTTTTAATTCAGGTGTAACTGCCGAGACAAATGTGAAAATAAACAATGCAATATCATCTAAATTCTCAAATTAAAGTTTCTATTCTACTTGCCATATGAGAGAATAAGAAATACATTCACTATGATACAGCTGATTACTCTGTTGTAAAATAACACAATTAAAAGTTTCTATCTAGAGTAGCTAGGATGTAATATCACATATCATACTGATGTCTACATAATTCCTTTGACTAGAAATGAGAGGAAAATCACTGAATAAAGATGGCTAAAGAGATACAACCTGTTAGGCCACTCTGGTTTCTTAGCCTTTTTAAGTCATGTAACAAAATAATGACCCTGCTATTTCCCTGAACACCATAAAAAAGCAGCAGTTCTTTCAGTTTCCCTGAAGAATGTCCCTAGGTATATCAGGAATATTTTATTTTTGACATAATGGTTAGAAAGGTTTTGCTCTGAAATATCTGAAATTGAAATTTGAGAGGGCTTTTTTGGCTCTATAAGGTTAAATGAAATTAAAATTAATTAGCATGGAAATTGAATCAATCATACATGTGCCAAAATACTGACAATGGACATTTTTGAGTGTTTCCCCAAATAATTGCTAAGTAAAAAATAGACATATCTACACCCAACCCACTGAATAATATGCAGATTAGTTTTACTTGATAGTCATCTCTGATTCTCTCAGTAACAAATTTCAAATCTGTGACAAATGTGACACAACTATTTTGTATTCCAGAAGTTCCTAGCTTTGCAAGTAACTGATTTTTTATTCTTTGATCCTAATGAATTAATCCCTGATATTATATCCATCACCAATTAAACACCTGTGCTATACAATTTTGTGCTGATCCATTATAAAAATTTCCAAAAAAGATACATTATATTTTTACAGATTATGCACAGTATTCCCATTAAAATTAATGACAATTACATAGCTAATTCCCTAAGTGCCAGAATGAAAATTGCCCTATTCTATTCAATAACCCTCAAAATTTCTCATTGCTTACCTGGTATGCCAAATGCTGATAAGTGGATTGAGCCACCTGCTTTGAGTACATATTTATCTAAATGGGAAAGAAAAAAGAAAGATTCACTAGGGTGACATTTGTCATATTTGTATTTAAAATATTTTAGAGACTAGAAATATATAAGTAAAGTTTTTTGCTGGGGATGAACTAATATTCTCAAATTAATTTTATTATTAGAAAATTCTTAAAGAAAATTTAATTCTAAGAAGCACATAGGTCACAATACTTTTCAACCAGATGCTTCATGAAAATGATAAAAATCTGAATCTTAATATGAAAGTAATGTTTGCCTTCACTACTAGCAGAGAAGGAGAAATTTGCTGTATTGATTATTGAGACCCATTCTTTTCATCTTCTTAGAGTTTACATGAAAGTATTTTGTGTGAAATGTTAAAAGCTTTAATTTATAGTTAAAAAATCAGGTTGTAAGTCCTAGTGTAATAAACAACCTCAAATAATCCATAAATAACTAAAGCTGACAAGTAAGTGAAGAAGAAAGGCATAAAGAGCATCTTACCTGAAAGAAGACAAGAAAAAAGAAAGAATGAAACATATAACAGGCAGAATAAATTTAAAATGATTAATTTCAACCCAAACATATTAGTAGTTACATCAAATTTTGTCTATTTTCATTTTAATGAGCCTATTATATGCTGTGCACAGGAAACCTATAATGATACAAAATATTGAAAATAAAAGACTGGAAAGAGTTATATCACACAAACACTAAACAAAAGAAAGCTTGTGTAGCTATATTGACTTCTGGCTACATAGACTTTAAGACAATAAGCAAGACTAGAGACAAAGGATTTCTTTGTCTCTAGTTTTAGTAATAAGTGTTCAATGTATCATTAAAATGTAATAACCTTCAGTTTAAATTCCCATTTGCTTTACAGTATAGATTCAAAATGTAAAAGGCAAAAAAGAAAAAAACAGATAAATATTATGTAGTATCAGTATTTACATGAGTCTTTTAACTTTATGGTTTTTAAAAATCATAAACCTTATTTATGGAGCACATTGCATTAAAAACTGCATAACCTATAGAATATCTATTTCCCTCTAGGGCACCTAAAACATTTGCCAAAATTGACCATGTTCTATGCCAGGAAATATTTAGACTGAGTGATAATCAAGATGTTACGTGTCACAACTTGTAGACTTTGCTAAAGTCACAGTTAGAGGGAGACTTGGAACTATAAAGGTACATATTTCAATAGAAAAACTGAACATTATTATTTGCCTTCATGGCGCCTACATTTTTCTAGGTGTAAAGAAAGAACAAAAAACCATCAGATAAACAAACAATTACCTTAAACCTACTGCAGGGCAGCTTGTGATAATTTCTATAGAGAAAATTAAAGATATGGAAAGAGTCATGCATTAAGCAGTACAATTGTCAGCACCTTATTCACAGTAAGTTTCCATGAAAATGTAACATTGTGCAAAATGTGATGGAAGAAAGCGAGTGGAACTTTTACAAGAGAAATGTTCTCCAAGCACAGAGAGAAAGAAGTGTAGACATCCTAGAATGGATGTTTACTTGAGTATTGAATAAACAACAAAGAGCCACTGTATTTGTGCGGAATCAGAGAGGGTAAAAAATCATGGTCAAAGAGTGAGAGGTAACAGGGTCCAGATCTGAAAAACTTTTTTGGCTATTTTAGGGACTCCAGAAGACAGGAATACAACTGACGAAATAAGGAATGTAGAACAGAGAGGAGGCTCAAATATTACTTCAAGTTTGAGCAATTAGAAAGACTGAGTTGTATTTTACTGAGATAAGCAAGACAGTGGAAGGGGAAATTGCCTGTTCTGATTGAGATATTAAATCTGATATTGCTACACATGGAGACACTGGGGTAGCATTTGGATACACGCCTCTGAAGTTTAGGAAAGAAATCCTGGCTGGAGACATAAATGTGGGAGTTTCAAGAGTTTGTTTTAGAACCATAACGGATCCATTGCAAAGAAACTACAGAAGTAGGAACCATAAGTTTGACTAGACTAACTCAAAATCTGCTTTTACCCTACACTTGCTAAATACTGTCTCTAGTTTCTCTTAGTATTTACTGTTCTAATATATTTTCTTAATTGTATGATAAACTGTGTTTGGCTTATTTTTCAGTATATTAGTAGAGTCATCTGTTATCTTTCTTCTTCAAATAAAATCTTGACTATGATACATATAAAATGTGTGAGATCCGTAAGTTACTTATTTGTGACTTGGTTCTCAATCTGTAAAATGTGCTAAGTTATAGTGTCGTTGTGAGGATTAAACATGTTAACACATGGAGAATAAACATCATAGTGCCCAGCTCAGCATAAGCCTTTAATAAATTCTATCTCCTAACATAACTGGTCTTTGCAAATACTGCTGTTATCATACTCTGGAAGTAAGAATTCCCATATAGGCCTTGTTGCATATAGGTACTGTCAGGCCTCTGAGCCCAAGCCAAGCCATCGCATCCCCTGTGACTTGCAGGTATACGCCAGATGGCCTGAAGTAACTGAAGAATCACAAAAGAAGTGAATATGCCCTGCCCCACCTTAACTGATGACATTCCACCACAAAAGAAGTGTAAATGGCCAGTCCTTGCCTTAAGTGATGACATTACCTTGTGAAAGTCCTTTTCCTAGCTCATCCTGGCTCAAAAAGCACCCCCACTGAGCACCTTGCGACCCCCACTCCTGCCCGCCAGAGAACAAACCCCCTTTGACTGTAATTTTCCTTTACCTACCCAAATCCTATAAAACGGCCCCACCCCTATCTCCCTTCACTGACTCTCTTTTCGGACTCAGTCCGCCTGCACCCAGGTGAAATAAACAGCCATGTTGCTCACACAAAGCCTGTTTGGTGGTCTCTTCACACGGACGCGCATGAAATTTGGTGCCGAAATCCCCTGTCCTCCTGTTCTTTGCTCCGTTAGAAAGATCCACCTACAACCTCAGGTCCTCAGACTGACCACCCCAAGGAACATCTCACCAATTTTAAATCAGGTAAGCGGCCTCTTCTTACTCTCTTCTCCAAACTCTCTCACTGTCCCTCAACCACTTTCTCCTTTCCACTCTTCAATCTCTCACTTCTCTTAATTTCAATTCCTTTCATTTTCCGGGAGAGACAAAGGAGACACGTTTTATCCGTGGACCCAAAACTCCAGCGCCGGTCATGGACTGGGAAGGCAGCCTTCCCTTGGTGTTTAATCATTGCAGGGACACCTCTCTGATTATACACCCACGTTTCAAGGGTGTCAGACCACACAGGGACACCTGCCTTGGTCCTTCACCCTTAGCGGCAAGTCCTCCTTTTCTGGGGAAAGGGCAAGTACCCCAACCCCTTCTCTCCTTGTCTCTACCCCTTCTCTGCTTTTCTGGGAGAGGGGCAAGTACCCCTCAACCCCTTCTCCTTCACGCTTAGCGGCAAGTCCCGCTTTCCTAGGGGGCAAGAACCCCCCAATCGCTTATTTCCGCACCCTGACCTCTTATCTCTGTGCCCCAATCGCTTATTTCTGCACCCTGACCTCTTATCTCTGTGCCCCAATCCCTTATGTCCATGCCCCAACCCCTTCTCTGCTTTTCGGGAGGGCAAGAACCCCCCACCCCTTTTCCATGTCTCTACTCTTTTCTCTGGGCTTCCCTCCTTCACTATGGGTAAGCTTCCACTTTCCATTCCTCCTTCTTCTCCCTTAGCCTGTGCTCTCAAAAACTTAAAACCTCTTCAACTCACACCTGACCTAAAACCTAAATGCCTTATTTTCTTCTGCAATGCTGCTTGACCCCAATACAAACTCGACAGTAGTTCCAAATAGCCAGAAAATGGCACTTTGAATTTTTCCATCCTGCAAGATCTAAATAATTCTTGTCGTAAAATAAGCAAACGGTCTGAGGTGCCTGACGTCCAGGCATTCTTTTACACATCAGTCCCTTCCTAGTCTCTGTGCCCAATGCAACTCGTCCCAAATCTTCCTTCTTTCCCTCCCACCTGTCCCCTCAGTCCCAACCCCAAGCGTCGCTGAGTCTTTCTAATCTTCCTTTTCTACAGATCCATCTGACCTCTCCCTTCCTCCCCAGGCTGCTCCTCGCCAGGCCGAGCTAGGTCCCAATTCTTCCTCAGCCTCTGCTCCTCCACCCTATAATCTTTTCATCACCTCCCCTCCTCACACCTGGTCCGGCTTACAGTTTCGTTCCATGACTAGCCCTCCCCCACCTGCCCAGCAATTTACTCTTAAAAAGGTGGCTGGAGCCAAAGGCATAGTCAACGATAATGCTCCTTTTTCTTTATCCCAAATCAGATAGCATTTAGGCTCTTTTTCATCAAATATAAAAATCCAGCCCAGTTCATGACGTGTTTGGCAGCAACCCTGAGACGCTTTACAGCCCTAGACCCTAAAAGGTCAAAAGGCCGTCTTATTCTCAAAATACATTTTATTACCCAATCTGCTCCAGACATTAAATAAAACTCCAAAAATTAAATTCCGGCCCTCAAACCCCACAACAGGATTTAATTAACCTCGCCTTCAAGGTGTACAATAATAGAAAAAAGTTGCAATTCCTTGCCTCCACTGTGAGACAAACCCCAGGCACATCTCCAGCACACAAGAACTTCCAAACGCCTGAACCGCAGCAGCCAGGCTCCTCCAGAACCTCCTCCCACAGAAGCTTGCTACACATGCTGGAAATCTGGCCACTGGGTCAAAGAATGCCCGCAGCCCGGGATTCCTCCTAAGCCGTGTCCCATCTGTGTGGGACCCCACTGAAAATCGGACTGTTCAACTCACCTGGCAGCCACTCCCAGAGCCCCTGGAACTCTGGCCCGAGGCTCTCTGACTGACTCCTTCCCAGATCTTCTCGGGTTAGCAGCTGAAGACTGACACTGCCCGATCACCTCGGAAGCCCCCTAGACAATCACGGACACCGAGCTTCGGGTAACTCTCACAGTGGAAGGTAAGCCCGTCCCCTTCTTAATCAATATGGAGGCTACCCACTCCACATTACCTTCTTTTCAAGGGCCTGTTTCCCTTGCCTCCATAACTGTTGTGGGTATTGACAGCCAGGCTTCTAAACCTCTGAAAACTCCCCAACTCTGGTGCCAACTTAGACCATACTCTTTTAAGCACTCCTTTTTAGTTATCCCCACCTGCCCAGTTCCTTTATCAGGCTGAGACACTTTAACTAAATTATCTGCTTCCCTGACTATTCCTGGACTACAGCTATATCTCATTGCCGCCCTTCTTCCCAATCCAAAGCCTCCTTTGCGTCCTCCTCTTGTATCCCCCCACCTTAACCCACAAGTATAAGATACCTCTACTCCCTCCTTGGTGACCCATCATGCACCCCTTACCATCTCATTAAAACCTAATCACCCTTACCCCACTCAACGCCAATATCCCATCCCGCAGCATGCTTTAAAAAGATTAAAGCCTGTTATCACTTGCCTGCTACAGCATGGCCTTTTAAAGCCTAAAAACTCTCCTTACAATTCCCCCATTTTACCTGTCCTAAAACCAGACAAGCCTTACAAGTTAGTTCAGGATCTGCACCTTATCAACAAAATTGTTTTGCCTATCCACCCCGTGCTGCCAAACCCATATACTCTCCTATCCTCAATACCTGCCTCTACAACCCATTATTCTGTTCTAGATCTCAAACATGCTTTCTTTACTATTCCTTTGCACCCTTAATCCCAGCCTCTCTTCACTTTCACTTGGACTGACCCTGACACCCATCAAGCTCAGCAAGTTACCTAGGCTGTACTGCCGCAAAGCTTCACAGACAGCCCCCATTACTTCAATCAAGCCCAAATTTCTTCCTCATCTGTTACCTATCTCAGCATAATTCTCATAAAAACACAAGTGCTCTCCCTGCCAATCATTTCCGACTGATCTCTCAAACCCCAACCCCTTCTACAAAACAACAACTCCTTTCCTTCCTGGGCATGGTTGGATACTTTCGCCTTTGGATACCTGGTTTTGCCATCCTAACAAAACCATTATATAAACTCACAAAAGGAAACCTAGCTGACCCCACAGATCCTAAATCTTTTCCCCACTCCTCTTTCCATTCCTTGAAGACAGCTTTAGAAACTGCCCCCACTCTAGCACTCCCTGACTCATCCCAACCCTTTTCATTACACACAGCAGAAGTGCAGGGCTGTGCAGTCGGAATTCGTACATAAGGACCAGGTTTGCGTCCTGTAGGCTTTTTGTCCAAACAACTTGACCTTACTGTTTTAGGCTGGCCATCATGTCTCCATGCAGCCGCTCCTGCTGCCCTAATACTTTTAGAGGCCCTGAAAATCACAAACTATGCTCAACTCACTCTTTACAGTTCTCATAACTTCCAAAATCTATTTTCTTCCTCATACCTAATGCATATACTTTCTGCTTCCCGGCTCCTTCAGCTATACTCACTCTTTGTTGAGTCTCCCACAATTACCGTTGTTCCTGGCCCAGACTTCAATCCGGCCTCCCACATTATTCCTGATACCACACCTGACCCCCATGACTGTATCTCTCTGATCCACCTGACATTCACCCCATTTCCCCAAATTTCCTTCTTTCCTGTTCCTCACCCTGATCACACTTGATTTACTGATGGTGGTTCCACCAGGCCTAATTGCCACACACCAGCAAAGGCAGGTTATGCTATAGTATAAGCCACTAGCCCGCCTCTTAGAACTCTCATTTCCTTTCCATCGTGGAAATCTATCCTCAAGGAAATAACTTCTCAGTGTTCCATCTGCTATTCTACTACTCCTAGGGATTATTCAGGCCCCCTCCCTTCCCTACACACCAAGCCCACCCAGGACTGGCAAATTAGCTTTACTCAACATGCCCTGAGTCAGATAACTAAAATACCTCTTAGTCTAGGTAGATATTTTCACTGGATAGGTAGAGGCCTTTCCTACAGGGTCTGAGAAGGCCACCGCAGGCATTTCTTCCCTTCTGTCACACATAATTCCTCAGTTTAGCCTTCCCACCTCAATACAGTCTGATAACAGACAAGCCTTTATTAGTCAAATCAGCCAAGCAGTTTTTCAGGCTCTTAGTATTCAGTGAAAACTTTATATCCCTTACGGTCCTCTGTCTTCAAGAAAAGTAGAATGGAATAAAGGTCTTTTGAAAACACACCTCTCTCAGAGCCAAGATGGCCAAATCAGAACAGCTCCAGTCTACAGCTCCCAGCCTGAGCGACACAGAAAACGGGTGATTTCATCATTTCCATCTGAGGTACCGGGTTCATCTCACTAGGGAGTGCCAGACAGTGGGCGCAGGTCAGTGGGTGCGCGCACCGTGTGTGAGCCGAAGCAGGGTGAGGCATTGCCTCACTCGGGAAGCGCAAGGGGTCAGGGAGTTCCCTTTCCTAGGCAAGGAAAGGGGTGACAGACGGCACCCGGAAGATCTGGTCACTCCCACCTGAATACTGCGCTTTCCGACGGGCTTGGAAAATAGCACACCAGGAGATTATATCCGGCACCTGGCTCGGAGGGTCCTGTGCCCACAGAGTCTAGCTGATTGCTAGCACGGCAGTCTGAGATAGAACTGCAAGGCGGCAGCAAGGCTGCGGAAGGGGTGCCCGCCATTGCCCAGGCTTGCTTAGGTAAACAAAGCAGCTGGGAAGCTCGAACTGGGTGGAGCCCACCACAGCTCAAGGAGGCCTGCTTGCCTCTGTAGGCTCCACCTCTGGGGGCAGGGCACAGACAAACAAAAAGACAGCAGTAACCTCTGCAGACTTAAATGTCCCTGTCTGACAGCTTTGAAGAGAGCTGTGGTTCTCCCAGCACGCAGCTGGAGATCTGAGAACGGGCAGACTGCCTCTTCAAGTGAGTCCCTGACCCCTGACCCCCAAGCAGCCTAACTGGGAGGCACCCCCCAGCAGGGGCAGACTGACACCTCACACGGCCAGGTACTCCAACAGACCTGCAGCTGAGGGTCCTGTCTGTTAAAAGGAAAACTAACAAACAGAAAGGACATCCACGCCAAAACCCCATCTGTACATCACCATTATCAAAGACCAAAAGTAGATAAAACCACAAAGATGGGGAAAAAACAGAGCAGAAAAACTGAAAACTCTAAAAAGCAGAGCGCCTCTCCTCCTCCAAAGGAACACAGTTCCTCACCAGCAACGGAACAAAGCTGGATGGAGAATGACTTTGACGAGCTGAGAGAAGAAGGCTTCAGACGATCAAATTACTCCGAGCTATGGGAGGAAATTCAAACCAAAGGCAAAGAAGTTGAAAACTTTAAAAAAAATTCAGAAGAATGTATAACTAGATTAACCAATACAGAGGAGTGCTTAAAGGAGCTGATGGAGCTGAAAGCCAAGGCTCGAGAACTACATGAAGAATGCAGAAGCCTCAGGAGCCGATGCGATCAACTGAAAGAAAGGGTATCGGTGATGGAAGATGAAATGAATGAAATGAAGCGAGAAGGGGAGTTTAGAGAAAAAAGAATAAAAAGAAATGAGCAAAGCCTCCAAGAAATATGGGACTATGTGAAAAGACCAAATCTACGTCTGATTGGTGTAACTGAAAGTGACGGGGAGAATGGAACCAAGTTGGAAAACACTCTGCAGGATATTATCCAGGAGAACTTCCCCAATATAGCAAGGCAGGCCAACATTCAGATTCAGGAAATACAGAGAACACCACAAAGATACTCCTCAAGAAGAGCAACTTCAAGACACATAATTGTCAGATTCACCAAGGTTGAAATGAAGGAAAAAATGTTAAGGGCGGCCAGAGACAAAGGTCGGGTAACCCACAAAGGGAAGCCCATCAGATGAGCAGTGGATCTCTCAGCAGAAATCCTAAAAGCCAGAAGAGAGTGGAGGCCAATATTCAACATTATTAAAGAAAAGAATTTTCAACCCAGAATTTCATATTCAGCCAAACTAAGCTTCATAAGTGAAGGAGAAATAAAATCCTTTTCAGACAAGCAAATGCTGAGAGATTTTATCACCACCAGGCCTGCCTTACAAGAGCTCCTGAAGGAAGCACTAAACATGGAAAGGAACAACTGGTACCAGCCGCTGCAAAATCATGCCAAAATGTAAAGATCATCGAGACTAGGAAGAAACTGCATCAACTAACGAGCAAAATCACCAGCTAACATCATAATGACAGGATCAAATTCACACATAACAATATTAACTTTAAATGTAAATGGACTAAATGCTCCAATTAAAAGACACAGCCTAGCAAATTGGATAAAGAGTCAAGACCCATCAGTGTGCTGTATTCAGGAAACCCATCTCACGTGCAGAGACACACATAGGCTCAAAATAAAAGGATGGAGGAAGATCTACCAAGCAAATGGAAAACAAAAAAAGGCAGGGGTTGCAATCCTAGTCTCTGATAAGACAGACTTTAAACCAACAAAGATCAAAAGAGACAAAGAAGGCCATTACATAATGGTAAAGGGATCAATTCAACAAGAAGAGCTAACTATCCTAAACATATATGCACCCAATACAGGAGCACCCAGATTCATAAAGCAAGTCCTGTGTGACCTACAAAGAGACTTAGACTCCCACACATTAATAATGGGAGACTTTAACACCCCACTGTCAACATTAGACAGATCAACGAGACAGAAAGTCAACAAGGATACCCAGGAATTGAACTCAGCTCTGCACCAAGCGGACCTAATAGACATCTGCAGAACTCTCCACCCCAAATCAACAGAATATACATTTTTTTCAGCACCACACCACACCTATTCCAAAATTGACCACATACTTGGAAGTAAAGCTCTCCTCAGCAAATGTAAAAGAACAGAAATTATAACAAACTATCTCTCAGACCACAGTGCAATCAAACTAGAACTCAGGATTAAGAATCTCACTCAAAACTGCTCAACTACATGGAAACTGAACAACCTGCTCCTGAATGACTACTGGGTACATAACGAAATGAAGGCAGAAATAAAGATGTTCTTTGAAACCAATGAGAACAAAGACACAACATACCAGAATCTCTGGGATGCATTCAAAGCAGTGTGTAGAGGGAAATTTATAGCACTAAATGGCCACAAGAGAAAGCAGGAAAGATCCAAAATTGACACCCTAACATCACAATTAAAAGAACTAGAAAAGCAAGAGCAAACACATTCAAAAGCTAGCAGAAGGCAAGAAATAACTAAAATCGGAGCAGAACTGAAGGAGATAGAGACACAAAAAACCCTTCAAAAAATTAATGAATCCAGGAGCGCGTTTTTTGAAAGGATCAAAAAAATGGATAGACCACTAGCAAGACCAATAAAGAAGAAAAGAGAGAAGAATCAAATAGATGCAATAAAAAATGATAAAGGGGATATCACCACCGATCCCACAGAAATACAAACTACCATCAGAGAATACTACAAACACCTCTACACAAATAAACTAGAAAATCTAGAAGAAATGGATAAATTCCTAGACACATACACTCTCCCAAGACTAAACCAGGAAGAAGTTGAATCTCTGAATAGACCAATAACAGGAGCTGAAATTGTGGCAATAATCAATAGCTTACCAACCAAAAAGAGTCCAGGACCAGATGGATTCACAGCCGAATTCTACCAGAGGTACAAGGAGGAACTGGTACCATTCCTTCTGAAACTATTCCAATCAATAGAAAAAGAGGGAATCCTCCCTAACTCATTTTATGAGGCCAGCATCATCCTGATACCAAAGCCGGGCAGAGACACAACCAAACAAGAGAATTTTAGACCAATATCCTTGATGAACATTGATGCAAAAATCCTCAATAAAATACTGGCAAACCGAATCCAGCAGCACATCAAAAAGCTTATCCACCATGATCAAGTGGGCTTCATCCCTGGGATGCAAGGCTGGTTCGATATACGCAAATCAATAAATGTAATCCAGCATATAAACAGAACCAAAGACAAAAACCACATGATTATCTCAATAGATGCAGAAAAGGCCTTTGACAAAATTCAACAACCCTTCATGCTAAAAACTCTCAAAAAATTAGGTATTGATGGGACGTATTTCAAAATAATAAGAGCTATCTATGACAAACCCACAGCCAATATCATACTGAATGGGCAAAAACTGGAAGCATTCCCTTTGAAAACTGGCACAAGACAGGGATGTTTTCTCTCACCACTCCTATTAAACATAGTGTTGGAATTTCTGGCCAGGGCAATTAGGCAGGAGAAGGAAATAAAGGGTATTCAGTTAGGAAAAGAGGAAGTCAAATTGTCCCTGTTTGCAGATGACATGATTGTATATCTAGAAAACCCCATCGTCTCAGCCCAAAATCTCCTTAAGCTGATAAGCAACTTCAGCAAAGTCTCAGGATACAAAATCAATGTACAAAAATCACAAGCATTCTTATACACCAATAACAGACAAACAGAGAGCCAAATCATGAGTGAACTCCCATTCACAATTGCTTCAAAGAGAATAAAATACCTAGGAATCCAACTTACAAGGGATGTGAAGGACCTCTTCAAGGAGAACTACAAACCACTGCTCAATGAAATAAAAGAGGATACAAACAAATGGAACAACATTCCATGCTCATGGGTAGGAAGAATCAATATCGTGAAAATGGCCATACTGCCCAAGGTAATTTACAGATTCAATGTCACCCCCATCAAGCCACCAATGACTTTCTTCACAGAATTGGAAAAAACTACTTTAAAGTTCATATGGAACCAAAAAAGAGCCCGCATCGCCAAGTCAATCCTAAGCCAAAAGAACAAAGCTGGAGGCATCACACTACCTGACTTCAAACTATACTACAAGGCTACAGTAAACAAAACAGCATGGTACTGGTACCAAAACAGAGATATAGATCAATGGAAAGGAACAGAGCCCTCAGAAATACCGCCACATATCTACAACTATCTGATCTTTGACAAACCTGAGAAAAGCAATGGGGGAAGGATTCCCTATTTAACAAATGGTGCTGGGAAAACTGGCTAACCATATGGAGAAAGCTGAAACTGGATCCCTTCCTTACACCTTATACAAAAATCAATTCAAGATGGATTAAAGACTTAAACGTTAGACCTAAAACCATAAAAACCCTAGAAGAAAACCTAGGCATTACCATTCAGGACATAGGCATGGGCAAGGACTTCATGTCTAAAACACCAAAAGCAATGGCAATAAAAGCCAAAATTGACAAATGGGATCTAATTAAACTAAAGAGCTTCTGCACAGCAAAAGAAACTACCATCAGAGTGAACAGGCAACTTACAAAATGGGAGAAAATTTTCACAACCTACTCATCTGACAAAGGGCTAATATCCACAATCTACAATGAACTCAAACAAATTTACAAGAAAAAAACAAACAACCCCATCAAAAAGTGGGCAAAGGACATGAACAGACACTTCTCAAAAGAAGACATTTATGCAGCCAAAAAACACATTGAAAAATGCTTACCATCACTGGCCATCAGAGAAATACAAATCAAAACCACGATGAGATACCATCTCACACCAGTTAGAATGGCAATCATTAAAAAGTCAGGAAACAACAGGTGCTGGAGAGGATGTGGAGAAATAGGAACACTTTTACACTGTTGGTGGGAATGTAAACTACTTCAACCATTGTGGATGACAGTGTGGCGATTCCTCAGGGATCTAGAACTAGAAATACCATTTGACCCAGCCATCCCATTACTGGGTATATACCCAAAGGACTAGAAATCATGCTGCTATAAAGACACATGCACACGTATGTTTACTGTGGCACTATTCACAATAGCAAAGACTTGGAACCAACTCAAATGTCCAACAATGATAGACTGGATTAAGAAAATGTGGCACATATACACCATGGAATACTATGCAGCCATAAAAAATGATGAGTTCATGTCATTTGTAGGGACGTGGATGAAATTGGAAATCATCATTCTCAGTAAACTATCACAAGAAAAAAAAAACAAACACCACATATTCTCACTCATAGGTGGGAATGGAACAATGAGAACACATGGACACAGGAAGAGGAACATCACACTCTGGGGACTGTTGTGGGGTGGGGGGAGGGGGGAGGGATAGCATTGGGAGATATACCTAATGCTAGATGACGAGTTAGTGGGTGCAGTGCACCAGCATGGCACATGTATACATATGTAACTAACCTGCACATTGTGCACATGTACCCTAAAACTTAAAGTATAATAATAATCAATAATTAAAATAACAAAATTTACACTTCTGAAAAAAAATAAAGAAAGAAAGAAATAAAAAATAAAAACACACCTCACCAAGCTCAGCCACTAACTTAAAAAGGACTGGACAATACTTTTACCACTTTTCCTTCTCAGAATTCAGGCCTGTCCTCGGACTGCTACAGGGTACAGCCCATTTAAGCTCCTGTATAGACGCTCCTTTTTATTAGGCCCCAGTCTCATTCCAGACACCAGACCAACTTAGACTGTGTCCCCAAAAAACTTGTCATCCCTAGTATCTTCTGTCTAGTCATACTCCTATTCACCGTTCTCAACTACTCGTACATGCCCTGCTCTTGTTTACACTGCCGGTTTACACTGTTTTTCCATGCCATCACAGCTGATATCTCCTGGTGCTATCCCCAAACTGCCACTCTTAACTCTTGAAGTAATTAAATAATCTTTGCTGGCAGGACTATGCTGAATCTCCTTAGGCACTCTCTGATCAGATATCCTGAGTCATCCCAATTCTTAGACCTTTTATACCCGTTTTTCTCCTTCTGTTATTCCATTTGGTTTCTCAATTCATCTAAAACTGTATCCAGGTCATCACCAAGCATTCTATATGACAAATGTTTCTTCTAACATCCCGACAATATCACCCCTTACCACAAGACCTCCCTTCAGCTTAATCTCTCCCACTCTAGGTTCCCACGTCACCCCTAATCCCGCTTGAAGCAGCCCTGAGAAACATCGCCCATTCTCTCTCCATACCACCCCCCAAAAATTTTCGCCACCCCAACACTTCAACACTATTTTGTTTTATTTTTCTTATTAATGTAAGAGGGCAGGAATGTCAGGCCTCTGAGCCCAAGCCAAGCCATCACATCCCCTATGACTTGCAGCTATACACCAGATGGCCTGAAGTAACTGAAGAATCACAAAAGAAGTGAATATGCCCTGCCCCACCTTAACTGATGACATTCCACCACAAAAGAAGTGTAAATGGCCAGTCCTTGCCTTAAGTGATGACATTACCTTGTGAAAGTCCTTTTCCTAGCTCATCCTGGCTCAAAAAGCACCCCCACTGAGCACCTTGCGACCCCCACTCCTGCCCGCCAGAGAACAAACCCCCTTTGACTGTAATTTTCCTTTACCTACCCAAATCCTATAAAACGGCCCCACCCTTATCTCCCTTTGCTGACTCTCTTTTCGGACTCAGCCCGCCTGCACCCGGGTGAAGTAAACAGCCATGTTGCTCACACAAAGCCTGTTTGGTGGTGTCTTCACACGGACGCGCATGAAAGGTACTTGAACTAAAGAAGACCTATGTGAACATTTTAGTCAGAATCTGGGCTTTCAGATAAATCAAAACCAGCGATGAAGTCCCTCATACACAGCAATTCCGATGCCAGGTATATTTTATGATGAAAACAGTGTTTTAGAAGTGATGAAACTTAATTTAAAGAATTTAATTGGGATGGTTACAGGACACCAGTAGACACTCACACCTGACTTCTCCTACATGTATCACTCACCATTAAACTTAAGTTGCCAGTCATAGTCTAGAAAGATCAGTAAAGACCACATTGCCATTATGGAAAATTATATTAGATATGTACCAATATACACGTGTTAACACAAGCTATCTTAAGTAAGTTACCACATGAGAGAGATTATAACAACATTCTCGTTTTATAGATAAGGAAATGGGCAGAGGATGCTTAAACAGTTTCTTGAAGGTCTCTCACACACTCACATATCTAGAAATCATGTAGCTGAAATTGTGAACAAGCAGTCTACCTTGAGAACATATGCTGTTAGTCATTAAACTATAATGCTTAATAAGTAATTTGCCAGATGTTAAAGAAAATTACACTAGGCAAATTAAACAGCAAGGAAGACTTCATAAAAGACTAGCAGTAAAGGTCAAGGCTATTGCACTAGGAAAGAGAGATTGAACTCAGCTGTGGTGAAACAAAAGGCAGGAAAGTTATTAAGTACTGGGGTGAGCTAACAGAAGAGTACAGGAAGACTTTATCGGAAGGTTGGTCAATTTCTTTAGGCCATCTGTGTTTGATAATTGGTACTTGTAATCTGTGTTTGCTAATTAAGTAGGCTTCTGCCCACCCACACAGAGACTGAGAGCTAGGAGTGATTTTATTTTGTTGTTCATTTTACTGTAATTATATTTCAAAGGGATGGCTCCCAGACTCACGAGAAAGACATTACTTTGTTGTAAAACTGGGGAGAGGCCAGGCAAAGATTTATACCTCAAAGGTGCAGAGAAAGAATTCGTTAATTGCAAGTTTTTGACAATAAAGTCTCTAAAAATAGGGAGGTCAAAGACCTATAGCCAGGAAGAAACCTGTCCAAGATTTAGTCAAGCTGAAGAGAATGTTAATGAAGTCCATTCTGGTCACAGCTTGGGCTGATATTCACTTTTTGGGTATGAAAATAATTGTTTTCAATTATAGAATGAATTTGGTTACTGAGGGAGGATTATTGGGCTTCTGCCCATAAAAAATGAATTGTGTGGTTAGGTAACTTAAATAATTTAAATTAAATTTTATCTTCTTAATTAAATATATTCTGACAACAAAATTTATTTATTTATTTTATTATTTTTTTTGAGAAGGAGTCTTGCTCCTGTTGCCCAGGCTGGAGTGCAACGGCATGATCTTGGCTCATTGCAGTCTCTGCCTCCTGGGTTCAAGTTATGCTCCTGACTCAGCCTCCTGAGTAGCTGGGATTACAGGCACCTGCCACCACACCCGGCTAATTTTTTGTAGTTTTAGTAGAGGCAGGGTTTCACCATGTTGGCCAGGCTGGTCTCGAACTCCTGACCTCAAATGATCTAACTGCCTCGGCCCCTCAAAGTTCTAGGATTATAGGCGTGAGCCACCATGTCTGGACAATTTTTGTTAATTTTTAAAGATAAAATATATGAATAAGAAAAATATTTAATTAAATTCTAAGCATTTGAGTTATTAACACAGAGGACTTTCACTCATATTACCAATTTAAAAGCAGATAACAATATGTTTTCACATTTTGAAACATATGACTACAATTAGTCTGCAACTTCTATGTTGCAGGTTTTATCATTTTTGCATATCTCAAATTTTCTACATTTAAGTTCTTTTACTTATGATATAGTAAAACAAGAGAAATAATGCATAAACCTTGCAGTATGACCTATAATTTCTTAAAATGAAACAAAGTTTAAGTTGAGATGAAAATTATCATTTGAATGTTGATATTACATCATATACAAATTGATTGCAACATAGTTATTTAATGTAACATTCTATTTTAAAAGATAAATTTATCAGAATCATACATTGCTACAGTAGTCTCCCTTATCCACAGGTTCATTTTCTATGGTTTCAGTTACCTACTGTCAACAAGGATCCAACAATATTACATGGAAAATCACAGAAATAAACAGTTTGTAAGTTTTAATTTGTGCGCTGTTCTGGGCAACGTGATAAAATCTCATGCTGTTCCTCTCTATCTTGCCTGAACATGAATTATCCTTTGTCCAGTATATCCACACTACATATGCTACCTTCCCATTCATCATTTAGTAGCTGTTTTGATTATCTGATAGAAAAAACACACAGTATATATAGAGTTTTTTATGGGGCAAGGGAAAACTTTCTCTTTGTCCTCTGAAGATTCACTGAAAACTCAACTCACAAGGGCAGACTAATAGGAATGAAGGTAAAAAAAAAATATATTAACATCAATGGAGATAACTACAGAGTGATTATTCCATTGCCATCAATGGACTACAGTGGCTTAAATATCGTTTTGAGGTTACAAAAAGAGTGGAAGTCTTGGATCTTGGCAAAACAGGTTATGGGAAGAAGAGAAGAGAAACCCTGGTTAGCAAAGGTCATCTTGTGATGCAGATAAAACCTCACAAGTAGCAGCCTTCAGAAAAAAAGAGATGGTAAATGTTTCTTTCAGACTTTTGAAGGTGTCAGACTCTCAGTTAATCTTTCCTAGATCCACACAAAAAAAGGGCCTCAGAGAAAGCCTGGCTGCATCGGTGCAAAGTCTCTACAGATGCAAATCTCCCTTACACGAGTCATCTTTTCAGGGATACTTCTGTTTGCTGGCTCTCTAAACAGCGATCTCAAAATATATCAAAGAAGTATATTTGGGGATGAAATATTATGATGTCCTTCAGTTTGGTACTATCAGCAGTTTCAGGCATCCAGTAGGGGTCTTAGAGTGTAATCCCTACAGATAAGGGAAGATGCTCTAGCTTGTTTTTTGTTTGACCTCTCTAAATCTCATGTTGAAATTTGATCCCCAATCTTAGAGGTTGATACCTATGGGAGATATTTGAGTTATTAGGGCAGATCCCTCATGTAGAGATTAATGCCTTTCCCCAGAGTGGGACAGTGAGTGTATTATCACTCCATTAGTTCTCTCTAGAGCTGGCCGGCTGTTAAAAAGAGCCTGGCACCTACTCTCTGTCTCTTGCTTCCTCTCTTGCCATGTGATCTCTGCACATACCAGCTCCCTTTTGCCTGCTGCTATGAGTGTGAGCAGCCTAAATAAAGTCCTCACAAGAAGCAGATTCTGGTTCCACGGATTTTTAAACAGCCAACAGAAGCATAAACCAAATAACCTATTTTTTAATATATAAATTACCCAGCCTCAGGTATCCTTTTATAGAACACAAACAGACTAAGACAAGGGACTACTGTATTTAAAATTAAGTTACATTTTATAATTGTTAGTTTAAATTGTGATTTTAAATTCTCCCTAGTTTCAATAATGGTGATACAAAGCTCAAAGAGAGTACTTTCTAAGCTTGTATGTAACTGTTATTTTTCAAACCACATTGTATTCGAGTGTCAGTATATCTTCATTTCTGCGGCATAACCAAGTCTCTTTAAAATGTCTGCATGTGTTTGCGTATTTTAAAAATATTTTTGAACAAAAAGACACAAAGAAAGTTAGAATAAAGTAAAATACTCAGTGCCTACATAGCATTAGAATTTATAAGGTCTGTTCATATAACTACACTGAACAAGACCCTCTGGGCTTATGTATCGCAAGCATTTGTATCACACCTATTAAGCTTTTTGTATTGAGTTCAGGAGGAGAAATTTAAAATCCCCTTTGAACTTTATTTGGTAACACTAGGTTAGAGTACTTTCTTGCCCCTAGCTAAGTTCTCACTCAATGGAACATAATGATGCCTCCTGTGTGTCTAGAAACCATACAGATAACTGCCTACTGAGCAAATTGAGTCAAAGATGCAGAATGGAAGAAAACTAGCATTATTGAATGCTAGCATACAGAGTGAAAGCTTCTTTTAATCCAAAAGATGGGTAAGATCTGTTGAAAAGTGATGTGGTTCCTGCTTCCTACAGCTTTAAGCAGTAGGAAAAAATATCTAAAATGTTAAAAATTGTGCAATTGTATTAATAATTTTACAACTTGTGTTATTCTTGTTTCCATTTTTACTATTTTTAAAGTATGCAACTCAAAGACAATCATGTCTTTTTAACAACATATAATGCAGAGTTAAGGAGCATAACACTGATGCATAAACTGAGGCATTTCATTCTAGCCCAAACTTATTTATTAGTAAACCATATCACTTTAGAATAAGAAAATATAAAATTTCTGAAAAAGACAATTTCTGAAAAATACTTTGTCATGTAGAGATATCATCCACTGAGAGGAGTGATGTACTTAGGAAAGTAATGTGACAAAATTGGGATCTTGCAGGACAGCCAAGTGGTGGGTTGATGGACAAAGAAGAAAGGTCAAATGAGGGAAAGAGGAAAAAATATTCCAAGACTAAGGAATAGTACTAACTAAAACAGAACAAAAATTACCTCTTTGCGTATGGCTATTCCACTATCCTGATAATATTTGCTTAAAAATTTATATTTTCCCAATGCTCTGAAATGTTTTTATCATTAACTAAATTCCCAAGTGTGTTTTTTCCAGTTTTTGTATATTTTATTTTAATTTTTCATCTATTCAAGCTGCAAAAGTTGGTTTTAATTTTGTGTATTTTTATTACTGAAAATTTGCCCTTTTTCAGTCTTTCCCTGAATGGTCTTGCTTGTGTTTTTATTCCAAATTAACTTGCTTGTTCTCTTATCGACAGGGACGGGGGCAGAGAAATTCTAGCCAGAAAAGTGTGGGTCACTGACAAACCGCCACTCTCAAGCCAAAAAACCTGAAACCACAGGCCAAAGTGAGAGCTTATATACCTGTTTTCCCACTTGAATGCTGCTTTTTCCTCAACCACCCCTGGCCCCGCCCTGCGCCATCCTGTGCCTATTAAAACCCCAGACTCAGCTAGTACATGGGACTATGGCTGGACGTGGGAGAAAAGCAGCTTGACTTCAGAAGGACAGCTTAACAGCGTAACTTCGGAGAAGAATCTGGCTGGAGATGACCTGACTTCAGGGGAAGGTAATCTTCCTACCCCCTCCGATTTACAGCTCCCCTTCCCACTGAGAGCCACTTTCATTAGCAATAAAATCCCCCGCATTTACCATCCTTCAATTTGTTCATGTGACCTCCTTCTTCCTGGATGCCAGACAAGAGCTCAGGAGCCATGGGTGTGGATATAAAAGGCTATCACATTGGCTCTTTGCCCTCACTGACAGAGAGCAGCTGCTCACATGAAATGGCAAAAGGGTCACTGAGCTGTTAAGCTGTCCACGGTTGGCAGAGCTAAAAGAGCACTGTAACATGCCCTCTGGGGCTTCAGGAGTTGCAAGCATCCCCACCTGGATGCTGCTGCAGGGCCTGCGTGGAGTTTGTTCCTGCCAGCACACAAAAGCAACCCGCTGGATCCTGCACTCGCTTGCTCCTGTTTGTGCACTCATTCACTCACACGCCTCCTCCCACAAGGGATAGACAGGGGCGGGCTGAGTAAATGAGGCAACGCTGTCACAAGTCCCATGAAGTGGTCAAGAAAATATCCTGCTTCATTAATTCCAGACAAAAATGGAGCTGTATTATGTGGGAATCACATTATATTTATAGGTTATTGATATTATTGATACAGCTTGGCTGTGTCCCCAACCAGATCTCATCTTGAATTGTAGCTCCCATAATTCCCACATGTTTTGGGAGGGACCATCTAGGAGATAATTGAATCATGGTGGCAGTTTGCTCCATACTGTTCTCCTGGTAGTGAATAAGTCTCATGAGATCCGATGGTTTTACAAGGAGTTTCTCCTTTAGTTTTGCTGTTATTCTCTCTTCTCTGCTGCCGTGTAAGATGTTACTTTGCTTCTTCTTTGCCTTCTGCCATGATTGTGAGGCCTCCCCAGTCATGTGGAACTGTGAGTCCATTAAACCCCTTTTCTTCATAAATTACCCAGTCTGAGGTATCTCTTTATCAGCAGCATGAGAACAGACTAATACAGTTCATTGGTACCAGAGGATTGGGGCACTGCTGTAAACATACCTAAATATGTGGAAGCAACTTTGGAACTGGGTAACAGGAAGAGGTTGGAACAGTTTGGAGGGCTCAGAAGAAGACAGGAAAATGTGGGAAGTTTGGAACTTCCTAGAGACTCGTTGAATGGCTTTGACCAAAATGCTGATAGTGATATGGACAATGAAACGCTGGCTGAGGTGGCCTCAGATGGAGATGAGGAATTTGTTGGCAAATGGAGTAACCATGACACTTGCTGTGTTTTAACAAAGAGACTGGTGGCATTTGGCACCTGCCCTAGACATTTGTGAAACTTTGAACTTGAGGAAGATGATTTAGGGTATCTGGCAGAAGAAACTGCTAATCAGCAAAGCATTCAAGAGGCGGTTTGGGTGCTGTTAAAAGCATTCAGTTTTAACAGAGAAACAGAGCATAAAAATGCGGAAAATTTGTAGCCTGACAGTGCGATAGAAGAGAAAAACCCACTTTTGAAATGGAAATTGTCATCTTACATTTGGAGTAGTTAAAAGTGGCACTGCCATTATCTGATACTTAAAAGAAGAAGAAACAATTGTGGAAACTATTAAATGCTCTTAATAAGATCAAAATTTGGGAAAGAATAAAAAAGTATCTAAAAGGATACTCTACAAACTTGTTTTTGGATATTACAAAATTAAAAGAACAAATATTTAAAGCATCCCAGGCACACCTGACCTTAATAACAGGAACTGGAGTGCTTAAAGGAGCTGCAGACAGATTAGCAGCTAGTAATCCATTAAAATGGATAAAAACACTTGGAAGCTCTGTGATTTCAATGATGAATGTGCTTTTAATCTCTGTTATTTGTCTTTGTATAGTTTGCAGATGTGGATCCTGACTCCTGCAAGAAGTAGCTCACCGTGACAAAACTACCTTTGCCTTTATTGATTTGCAAATCAAAGAAGGGGGACATGTTGGGAGCAGGCCCCCCGAAACTGGCCATAAACAAAACCGCTGCAGCACTGTAACATGTTCATAATGGCCCTAATGCCCACGCTGGAAGGTTGTGGGTTTACTGGAATGAGGGCAAGGAACACCTGGCCTGCCCAGGGAGGAAAACTGCTTAAAGGCATTCTTAAGCCACAAACAATAGTATGAGCAATCTGTGCCTTAAGGACATGCTCCTGCTGCAGTTAACCAGTACAACCTATTCCTTTAATTCGGCCCATCCCTTCATTTCCCATAAGGGATATTTTTAGTTAATTTAATAACTATAGAAACAATGCTAATGACTAGTTTGCTGTTAACAAATACGTGGGTAAGTCTCTGTTCAGGGCTCTCAGCTCTGAAGGCTGTTGAGACCCCTGATTTCCCACTTCACACCTCTATATTTCTGTGCGTGTGTCTTTAATTCCTCTAGCGCCGCTGGGTTAGGGTCTCCGCAACCGAGCTGGTCTCGGCAGTATCTCATATATCTATCTACTTTATTGTATGCCTTGAGTACATCACTACAACATGGATATTGCCACAAAAATATCTTTGTCTGACTATTTTCCCACTCGAGTGACATAGCCAGGGGAATAGCAACTGGTGTCTAAAGAAACCCCAAGAAATTTTATGCATGAACCAGGAAGACAAGAGAGGGTCACTCTCCCTAAGATACCCATAGGAAATCAGATTAGGGGTTTAGGTACATTAACACAAAATTAAACCAAAGCAAAGGCTTCTTCAGTAATCTATCATTTTTTCTTAAGTCTGTACTTGCCCAACTGTTTTAGTCCTATCATCCTAACCTTAAAGGTAGCTGAAAAGGGAAGAGAAAAAGCAGATGAAAATGGAAAATGGACCTCCGCCAGGGATTATGCAAAGCTATATCTTGCCCTTTGAAGAACACAAGTATTACCATTCAGAAAACTTTCCTCTATAATTCATGCAATGTAGAAAAAAATGCACAAAATCTAAAACTCCACATTTGAATGCCAGTCTAAATAATTGACATTACTCAAAAAAACTTGGTATTCAAATATGAAGTTTTTTCCATGTTAATGTTACTTAAAAAGAACAAAAAGGAGAAGACTAGGATTGAGGGGCTTGGGAGAGGAATGGGAGGAGAAACAAGAGGACAAAGAAAAGGGAAAATGGTAGGAGAAATTTATAGCTGAAATGAGACAACTATTATTCTTCATGTTTACTAAATGAAATTTCATTTATATGTGTCATTTAAATGAAAAATAATACAACTCATATTATGGGAACTTCATTTCTCATAAATCATATAAATAATTATATATGTGTTTTTGTGTATAATTAGTCCATATTCCACAGAAATAATTTGAAAAAATGCCCTAAGGAAATCACCTCTTATTATACCTCTGCTTAACAAAAAGATTAATATGAAACTTTAGATTTCTTTTCTAGTTTTTTCTAAGATAATTTAATATAAAACTTGTATTTTATATATTCACTATATACTATGTTATATATTTACTTACCTACTATATATAGTTTGTATCTTTTTCCATTATTAAAAAACAACTAAATATATCATTAAAATTGACCAAATATCATAATGACTTCATTAGATTTTATTATTTTTCAGCTGGTTCTCTAAGGTATTTTGGGGAGATCATGTTTTCTGCATATAATGATTATTAAACAAAACTATAAGAGGCCATGATTTTAGACTGAGCTCAAGCACTAGGCCCTAACAGACCAGACCAAACAAAATGGAGTCATTCCTGCTAAATGCCATATAAGAAATTGGAAACTCTAAGGAAGCAAAGAGATCTCAAAACAAACCTATTTTGTCTTCTGAAAACAGGAGATCACAGAATAATAAGGAAGTCCTCTCTGCTTTAACCTTTATAGAAAAGTGACCTGAAGAAACCAATCAGTTATTATTATTATTATTTTTTTTTACCGTTGTTCTCTTTGCTTGTTTTCACCTTACAAAACCCACTGTTTTGCTATTTTCCAGTGGAATTGAGAAGAAGTTAGTTCATTTACAACGGTGAAAGAATGACATCAATGCCTAAAGTTTTGATCAACTTCTTAATTTTGAGAGATTAACCAAAAGGGAGGAATTATTAAATTAAGTTTAGCCTAAAGCTGCTTCCTTATATATTTTAAGTTCAGCCTAAAGGTTTCTCCATACATAGTGAACTGTAATCTAACTGGAAATGTGAATGGACTCTTGTAACAAGTAGCCAAATCTCCAACCATGGGAAAGTCCCAGAGTCACTGTGAACCTGTTTTGCTTAGAAGGAGGAGGATTGTCCTTTAGCAAATCATTCTTTCTTCAATTAAAAACTTCGTTAAATTTAACTTGTCTAATGGTTTTCTTTTAACATGATAATTCTATATCCTCATTTTGAATAATTATTACTCTTACTATGTTTTAGGTGATTGCATTGACTGGAATTTTCAGATCAATATTTGGTAATAAAAATTCACTGATAGCAAGTTTCATATTCTTGAGGATAGTAAGATGGTTCTTGAGCTTTACTATTAACATTCTCTTATTTCTACAGAATTTATAGATAACAACCTGTTTATTTTCTGTTGAATATCTTCACCATACCTATGATTACAACATTGATACTTGTCATATTTATGCTTCTATTTTATAACAGTAATATATTGCCTAATATTCTACCAGAATTTTATAATTCTGGGATAAGACTTGCTTAATTCTGTGTAAATATTATTTGGATGTACATTTTGCTTTTAGAATTTAAGTTGGCTCTAGCAGTGTTTTCAAAAGTTTATCATTTAAGATAGCCAATTCTATGAATACTACATTAAATTTTTTTTTTTACAAATGGCTTTGAAAATGCCATATAAATTTAACAATGCACACATGGCATTTTAATGCAACAATTGAACCCAGCCAATTTAATAAATAAAACCTAGGTTATTGCACATTTATTTGACTGTAAACCTTTTTTCCCCTGAAGTAATCTATTTAAATTCTGCAGATCTAGTGTTTTAATGAGAATACTTTGTAAAAACTGGCTATATTACTATCCTAGCATTGTGGTAAAACATTACCAGACACCTGGTGACTTAAAACAATGGAAATTTATTATCTAACACTTCTGGAAACTCGACTTCTGAAATGAAGGTGTCAGCAGGGCCATACTTTCACTGAAAGCTCTAGGGAGGAATCCTTTCTTGCCTCTTAACTAGTTTCTGGCTGTTGTTGGCAATTTGGCAGCAAGTTCCTTGGTTTATGGCAACATCACTATAATTTCTGTTTCTGCCTTCACATGGCCTTCTTCCCTGTGCATCTGTGTCTCTGAATGTAAATATCCCTAGAGTCTCTCTGATGAAAAGCCTAGTCACTACATTAGAACCCACCCTAATCCATTATGACTTCATTTTACCTAGATTATATTCACAATGACCCTATTTCCAAAAAAAAATAGTGCATATATAGGTACCAGGGGGTAGGGCTTCAACATATCTTTTTGAAGGACATAATTTAATCCGCAACAAGGACTTAACATATATTATTTTATTGTATCATATTAGAGATTATCATATTATGATTATTCTCATTACCAATTTGGGGGCTTTAATTTCTCAGTCTCCCGCTCACCAAAAAAGAACTTTGCCTTTATAGTGTTGCTTTCTATTTTTACCCTTTTGGGGCTTGGTACAGTATAGACCATGTCAGGAATGTCAAATGAAATGTCTCATATTAGAGAATAGCCTTCAATAAATGAATAAAATCTAACATAAAACAATTTGGATGATTTGAATTAAAAAGTCCCAATTCAGACAAAATAACTTACTTTATTATGGGTAGTAGCATGTTGGTAGGAAGCTAGTAATAGTAAAAAATATTCTGATTACATAAACTTAATGTGATGTAGTATATAACTTGCTTTTTCAAATGATTAGTACTTTAATCTCAAAATACATTTTAAGATAGTTATATTACCTTTATTTTATAGATTAAAAATGTATAATCACAGAAAAGCTGAGTTTTCTGAAGTGAAGTTTGGTCCTGCCAGGTTTTGCCCAGTGCTACAATCTTTCTCCAACCTGCTTTTACTGCAGGTAAAACCCCACGGTTGACTACATGGCTTGTATGCATGGTCTCTGGGGCTGCTGATGGTTAGCAAAGCCAGCCATTAGGAAGAGGAGCTAGATTAAAAACAACGTAGACATGAAGCACTTTTATATCTGATATCACTGTAGTTGAACACAAATACTGCTTATACATAAAAATCTCTGATTTCTTGCCCACTCCTAAATTTTGTGCTAGTTTCTCTTTTAACCAAATATAGCCCAGAAACATACAAAACAAAACAAAACAAAAGATTCTAGGAAACGATTTTCAGTTTAACCAACTTGATGAGACAATTAGCACAAAGACTTTTAGCTAGATGTTGTTTTAGTTAATTGCTTGAGAGTTGAAGTTTTTGAAATTATTAAAATGGTAAGAGTAAGCAGTGGCTAAAGATTATACAAAAAATTACTTGTAGGATGTAATACTATTATCTTGGATTCAGAAAATCCATTATTCCAAGCCATCGTATCACTCTTATTATAATTATTATGAAAATATTATTGAGACCATTTTAAGCTAATTTTATTAAGCTAGATGAAGATAACATTGTAGAATTTTATCCAAAAGTTAAGTCCTTTTCACAGGAAGGTTTTGAAAAATAATTTATATGAATTAAATAATGTTGAAAAGAAATTTAGATAACAAAATTTTTTATTACAGAGGTAATTCTTTAAATTTAAGACTATATGAAATGCTTTCAGAATCATTTTTATAATTGCTTGGGAAAGAAATATCTATTTTCTGATTCAAAATTCTCAGGATTTATTAAAATGTCTTAATGCTGGGAAACTTGTCACTCAATTTAAAAGATTAAATAAATACATATCAAAAGAATAATGCAGCTGTACACGTAGTAATACTTAGAAATATTACATTAAAACAGGAGGTTAATAATATATTACTTGTTTGAAATGTTAATTTAAAAATAAACACAGAACATCTTCAAATGGATGGATTAATTTTATATGTTTCCTACCGAGAGAAAAGAGGATCTGCACATGAATGGGATAGTGGATCTTTGAATGAGTTTTTTGTATCTAGTAATAGTAGATATTTTAAGCAAATCTCACTGAAGTGAATAGGGGAAAATTGATTCTTCTGGGTTTTACAAACTTAGCTTTAGTTATTTATATTTATCAGGAAGAAACTGTCTCCCCAAAGACATGCATACAAATGCATATAAGCACATATATGTGCACACACACGAACATATCTGTTAGATACTGGAACTTAATGCTTTGAAACAAACAAAAAAGTTGAAATATTTATAGTTCACATAACCTAAAGAAATAAATACGTTTAAAAATTTTCTAAAATTAAAAAAACTATTGATTTTATATATAAGCTTCATGTCCATATCTATGAATTCAGAAACATAAAAAAAGGAAAGTTTTTTTTAAATATCAATGAGAAAAATGTAAAGTGCAATGCATCTATATTCATGAATAATTTTAACTATTTTCTTGGCATATTTTTAATGCTTAATAATGGTTCAGAGGAAGTGTTCTATATGTTAAATTTCAGGCTATGACTAGGTGAGATGTCCAATGCGTAGATTTCAGTTTTACCTTAGATTATTAATCCCCTCTGGCCACTGAGGCACTCCAACCCCAACTAGTTGCCTTTGGTGACACGCAGACTGGTTAAGAAAGTTCTGTTGGGCATCTCAGCTAAGTGATATATTATCAAATTCATTATGGTCCTTGAAATATCTGTCACTCACTGCTTCAAAGATAGTGAACCCAGCATCAAAATGTAGTGAACACAGCTAAGATTGCATGCCATCACCTAAACATATTCTATAGATTACAGTAGAATTAATAGTTGCCTAATTTAGACAACAAGTCTGGGGGAAGCTTCTGAAAAATGTGATGTACTGAATGCCTAAAGAAACGTTCCCAAGGTAGAAGGAAGGAATTTGGAAAGGCTTTCAACAGGAAGAGAAAGAAATTCAGAGGACAAAGAAGGCAGGGGCAGCTCCATTAAGTGGCTTTGTGTCTGTCTTTGCATATGTTTAGTAATTGTCTGTGGCTGACATACACTTTTAAGGGGTATCTAAGTTCATTGAGGAATGTGCACTTTTACAGTATCTGTACCTGCTGAAAATTCAAGCATCATTGTTCTTTTCGCATCATTGATATAATAATGTTCAATTGGATTCAATGTCCACTTGTATTATCTCAAAGGACTAACAGTGTATTTATCAAGTCACTTAAAAAAGAAATGAATTCTAATTGTTGTACCTATGGTCTTGGCTCATGGAACATTCACTGGGGTAGAGTTTGGATTCATGGAGCTAAAGTGAATGAACATTTCAGCCAAATCAGTTTCACACCTTGCACTATTAGCTATAGTCAGTGTATAGGGGAAGCCGCTAAATTCTTGACCTATACATTTTGGGAAGAGATTTATAAAATAAATGAATGAATAAATAATTTAAAAACAAGAACAAACAGATATCATGATTCCTCTAAGAATTTTGAAAAATGTAACTGCTATTTTGAAATATCCTAGTATATTAATCAAATTAGAATTGCAATATCTATGTCATAACAACTAAACTACTAAATTTTATAATATTTCAAGTTTCCTTAAGAATATTTTTCCTCAGGCTGGGTGTGGTGGCTTACGCCTGTAATCCCAGCACTTTGGGAGGCCAAGGCGGGTGGATCACCTGAGGTCTGGAGTTCGAGACCAGCTTGACCAACGTGGAGAAACCCTGTCTCTGCTAAAAATACAAAATTAGCTGGGCGTGGTGGCACATGCCTGTAAACTCAGCTACTTGGGAGGCTGAGGCAGGAGAATCGCTTGAACCCAGGAGGCAGAGGCTGTGGTGAGCTGAGATTGTGCCATTGCACTCCAGCCTGGGCAACAAAAACGAAACTCCATGTCAAAAAAAAAAAAAAAAAAAAGAATATTCTTTCTCTGCTGCAAATTAAGAATACATGAAATGATGAGCCTGAAATACTTTTACCAAGATTTAAATAAACACCTCTTTTCTAATATCAATAAACCACCAATATAAGCATAATCTAATTCTTATGAATTTACTATGTTTAGGGAGCAAATAAACAAAGCATTTTGTCCTCATTAGTAACCATATTATATTATTAAACATATCAACTTGTTACTGCAGCTTGGGCCTCCAAGTTCTCTGACTCTCGTGTAAATAAAAATTAACACCAGGACAAACATACATTTTTCTCAGACAAGGTTTAATAGGTTTGCTGCTTGAGAAATTTCAAGGGAGCAGCTGCAAACTTGCACAAACATTTACAGCAGCACAATTTGCAGTTGCAAAATGCTGGAACCAGCCCAAATGCCCACCAATCAATGAGTGGATAAAGAATTGTGGATATATATATACTGTAATATATAAATACCGGGATTACGCCTGTAATCCCAGCACTTTGGGAGGCTGAGGGGGGTGGATCACCTCCGCCATAAAAATGAATGAAATAATGGCATTTGTAGTAACCTGGATGGAGCTGGAAACCATTATTCTAAGTGAAGTACCTCAGGAATGGAAAACCAAACATAGTATGTTCTCACTCATAAGTGGGAACTAAGCTATGAGGATGCAAAGGCATAAGCATGATAAAATGAACTCTGGGGACTTGGGGGAAAGGGTGGGAGTGGGGGAGAGTGATAAAATACTACACATTGGGTACAGTGAGCACTGCTTGGGTTATGGGTGCACCAAAATCTCAGAAATCACCACTAAAGAACCTATTAATGTAACCAAACACCACCTGTTCCCCCAAAACTTATTAAAAATAATTTTAAAACCCCACAGTATTGCAAAGGATAAACATTTGGGTAATCAACAACAACAACCAACAACTAGAAAAGAGATCCCGGTGTTAACTTCCTGAAAGGCTGAGCTCTTGTCATTTTAAGGAAGCTAAGTCAGAGGAAAGAGTGATGTGTAAGCATGTAGAGGTGGGGAGTTTTCAACTGCATCTGCTAAAATTCTTATCAGGAATGTCAGAGTCCTGCCTTAGCAACCTTGGGAGGCATCACTCAAGGAGATAAGCGATTAGGTTCTTCCTTTTATGGTTAGGAATTCAGCCTAGTCAGCTAAGTTAGGAAGGGGTAGCTTTCTACTAGGTGACTTGGGTCAGCTTGTTAAGGGAGGCAAGAAGGTAGGGGAGGGAATATGCTCAGACATAGAAGACTTATTGGGAGTCTGCTCATGTCTTTTGTCTGCCAAAACCAAGTCTCTTCCCTACACTGTCTCAAACCCCAGGCTAGAATGCTATTTCTTTGTATTAGAACTAGGCTGATCCTTATATTTGTAGTAGATTATTATGTTTGAAAACTGTGTACTGGCTTCAAGAACAATGTAACAATTAGTTGTTAAACGATCTGGAAGGGTGCTGAATGTTTTTGTGTACAAATAGCTCCTCAATTTTACCATTACTAATTAACGTAAGCCTAAAAAAATTAGTTAATTTAGACTTTTAAAATTAAAAGATAATACCTTATGCCTATAAACCAAAACTAAAATTATAAGCCCCTCAACCATCTGAATATACCATTCCTCTCTACCAAGGGCATTCCATTGTTACCCTGAAAAACTAGTTCAGGCCATGATGGGAAGTGGAGGGTCAGACATGCCTCACAACTGACCAGCATTAACATTAAAACAGAGATTTTAAGACTGATAGAAGAGACTCTTTAAGTCTGATAAGAAACCTTTACAATCTATTCTCTCTGAAGCCTACTACCTGGAGGCTTCATCTGCATGATAAATCCTTGGTCTCCACAAGCCCTTATTGTAACCCAGACATTCTTTTCTATTGATTCTAGGTATTTGGATAATAACTCTTTCAACCAATTGCACATCAAAAAATCTTTAAATCCACCTATCACCTGGAAGCCCGTTTCCAGTTGTCCCATCTTTCTGAACCAAGCCAATGTACATCTTACACATATCAATTGATGCTTTATGTCTCCTTAAAATATATAAAACCAAGTTGTAGTCCGATTACCTTGGGCATGTATTCTCAGGATCTCCTGAGGGGTGTGTTACAGGCCACTGATCACTCATATTTGGCTCAGAATAAATCTCTTCAAATATTTTGCAGTTTGACTCTTCTCATCAAAA